>NT_167244.2:3692404-3746707 GCF_000001405.40 Homo sapiens | reverse complement strand
GGCCAGAGGTGCAGATTGAACCGTGGCCACGCTGTGAGGAAAGGCCTCCGTCCTGTGAGCACCACCCTCCCCTCACTGGCCTCGGGAATCCCAGGCCCCCCACTCACATCTGGGGGAGGAGTCGCAGGGCTTCTGCAGGTGCTCTCTCTCCTCCAGTCAGTCAGCAAACCGAGGGGACTGTGGAGGACAAGCCACTGTGCCTCCAGGAGATGAGAGCTGCTGATTTTTCTTTCCTTTCCCTGAGGAAACGATACCTGTATAAGTCTCACTGCTGGGAGACTCCACAAAGTAATCATCTTTCTGGTGAGTTGATCTAAGAGCTCTCAAAACATCTTTCAACCAGGTCCCCAAGAAACAGCTGATGGCGTCGCCTGAACTTCTCCATATTCATAGCAACACTTTCCTGACATTTCTTGGATTGACCTTGATTTCTTATCTTCATTTCTAATCTCCTCTATTTTTCTATCCACCTTCTTTCCAAGACCTTCCATTCCCAGTAATGACACCTAATAGCTATAAAGGGATTTTGTATCATGATTATATTCTTACTTTATCCTTACAACGATACTTTAATGTGAGCCACCCACATACTATCCCTGTGTAAAAACTAAGAAAATTGAGACCCCTGGAAAGAACAGACTTACCCAAAGTAAAGCTTGCCCAAATGTATAGCAAAGCTAGAATGAAAATCTCAGTCAGCCTAAACTCAGGGCTTCTTTTGTCGTCTAGTGGCTGAGGGAGTTATGAATGTGGGTCACAGGTGACCGCCGCATTTGAAGAAGGGTCTGTAAGTAAATCGACTTGCGGAACATCCTTGAAGCCGACAGTGAGCCCGTCTCTGCTGCCCTCTGGTGGCCAGGCAGATCCATGACTCCCCTCTCCTGTTCCTCCTGCCCTCGCCGGATGCTTGTTTTTCCCTCTCCTCAGTTCTAGCAGCTTATGCCTTGTTTTCCCGCTTCTCCTGGAGGTGGACTCTAGTCAGAATGCAGAGATTGTGACTCCTTTTTTTCTCTCCCACACACCAACATCTTCCTGCACAAAATGACCTCCCATAATATGTAGCATAATTTAGGACACAGTTCTCAGCACAGGCAGACCTCTGAGAAAGTGTATGCAGATGATTTGTGAGAACACACACACGCGAGTGTAAACGGAGCTTCTTTACGCGGTGAGTTGGCGCTGATGTGACTGACCATAAAAAATTCAAATAATTGCAGCATTTGGTACCATAGAGATGATACTACAGAATGCATGCAATGAGCGGCATCTTTTCACACATTCAGGTGTATAAAGTAAATTTCTATATTTTCCTATTACGGATTTTAATTTGTATGCCAAGCATTATTATGTCTTCTGACAGAGGAGTTCATCTGGTAATTTCCAGATAAATTCAGGGGCTTTCACACAATTAATTTAATAGCAGCCTCTCCTTCACCTGCCGTGTGATTTCTAAGTTCTGAGGTGGGAGGCGGAGCAGGGCTGGTGTAGAAGTCTCTCCTCACATTTGCATCATCAGCTCCCACAATATGTCACTATCGCGTCGTGTTTCCTGGTCGTCACTGTCCTTCCCACAGTGGTGACGATCACTGTTATGTCCTTGATGCCACTCTCCTCTTGCTGGAACATTCCATCCCAGCATTTTAGGCAGCAAACTTTCATCCCACTGTTGGAGCCTTCCAGAGTCTGCCACTTCTTGCCTTGGAGAACTTTTCCTTTGCTGCCACTCTGAGAGGGACATCTGTGGGCATCGCTACCATTCTGGGAACCGGAGGTGAAGTGGGGTTCATTCCCCTCTACTCCAATTGAGAGAGAACCAGGGTAAAGAGACCCTCCTATCCTCGTCCATGTTTAATTATGTTTCTCTTCTCTCCAAATCTCTCATCCTCTACAGTGAGGGGAGGGTCTTTGTCTAGACTGAAGGATGGAGGGGGAAACCCTTACATTAAGAATCGTAACCGTAAGTCAGGGGACCCAATTATGGGCTGCTCATAATGGGAGGGAAAGAAACTTAAGGAAAAAATCGGCTCAAACCTTGTAACATCATAATGCTGCATATGCTTTTATCATTACATTGACATGAAAATCTGCAATTAAATTAAAAATTGTTCTGGAGAACTCTTGAAATCCTGAGACTATATCTGAGACCCCCTCTAGCTCAAGGAACACAGACTTAAGGGGAACGTAAAGGAAAATCTGGCAGAAACAAAAACACACACAAAATATGCCTATCATTATACTCTTCATGCCCAAATATTATGCTGAGAAGGTTATTACATTTCTTTGGTAAACATCTGAGAGTAATTAAACCTTTTATTACTCAGCAAAGGGAGATAAAGTACCTGAGTAAAAAGAGCAATAAAGTAGCCCACAAGGGACCTTGGCCCAGAGCTCTGATCCTGGAGAGGGCAGTTCCTTTCTCTGGGTCTCTGTTTTCTCATCAGTGGAATGAGGGATGGCACGTTTGATATTCAGTTTTGCTTCCAACTCCAGCCCGATGAGTGCCATGCTCTGGTGGAGACTTGGCACTAGTTGGGAATCTTTGATGTGTGGCAAGGTGGAGGGAAGGGTGGATAGCACCCGCTGATGTGTGGGACGGTGGGGTCTGTGTGAGGACCTAACTGGGGGGTTGCAGATGAGGCCTCCATGAAGGCCTTGGCTTTCTGGGGAAGGTGAGAATTGCCAGTGTCATGATTTTGTGTGCACGTCTGCAGAATTCACAACTGAACCCAGCCAAAGTCCACTTGTCCCTGGAGTTTCACTGTTGAGAGGATTATAGCTGTTAGGAGGTGAATGTGCTATTCTGATTTTCAGAATGCAATCTCATTTTCACAGGGCCTCCGGGATTTGGCTCTGCCTTCAACTGGGGTGAGACGGCTTAAATCCTCCTTCACCCAAAGTCCTGGAGGAGGCCTCCACACTCTCTGGCTCTCCCACAGTTCTGTCTTTGATCAGCACACCCCAGGGCTCTGACCTGTTTCTGACCACCTGCTATGTGGATGAAGATACATCTGGGGCTAAGTGAGAAGACCCAGTAGCACCAGGTTTCGCCCCAAAGGAGAGAGGGAGACACGTGAGTGGTTTGGATTCCCTGGTGAAGGATGGCCACGGGAAGCTGGGGACATTGTCTCAGATTACAGAGTAGGACATACGGACAGAATCAATGTCCTTTAGGGAAATGCTGCCACCTGTTACACTGCCTCCCACTTACATTTATATCCCACTGCGCAGTCTTCAAAGTGCGATTGTAGCCCATTTGACCCTCACAGTGTTCTTGTGAAGCAGGCTGAGTGAGGAAGAAGCACGAAATTAAAAACGAGAAAACCAGGATCACATTTTCATTTGTCATGGATGATGTGGGGCATGTGTCCCTGAGCCTTGACGTCTTCTTATGTCACATGGTCATGACACAGCTTGGAAAACATTAGGATGATTGTCTCCACCACACAGCAGAGAAAATACAGGCTCAAAAAAGTAAAGAAAGATGTCCAAGGTCACACACACACACACAAAAACCCAATTCACTTTGTCTCCTAGAAATCTTATTTTAGCTTTCTCTATAAAAATGTATTGTTTTAACATATGATAAACTATAGCTGTTTTTTTTTTTTTAATTTTTTTTTTTATTATACTCTAAGTTTTAGGGTACATGTGCACATTGTGCAGGTTAGTTACATATGTATACATGTGCCATGCTGGTGCGCTGCACCCACTAATGTGTCATCTAGCATTAGGTATATCTCCCAATGCTATCCCTCCCCCCTCCCCCGACCCCACCACAGTCCCCAGAGTGTGATATTCCCCTTCCTGTGTCCATGTGATCTCATTGTTCAATTCCCACCTATGAGTGAGAATATGCGGTGTTTGGTTTTTTGTTCTTGCGATAGTTTACTGAGAATGATGGTTTCCAATTTCATCCATGTCCCTACAAAGGATATGAACTCATCATTTTTTATGGCTGCATAGTATTCCATGGTGTATATGTGCCACATTTTCTTAATCCAGTCTATCCCTTCCTTACACCTTATACAAAAATCAATTCAAGATGGATTAAAGATTTAAACGTTAAACCTAAAACCATAAAAACCCTAGAAGAAAACCTAGGCATTACCATTCAGGACATAGGCGTGGGCAAGGACTTCATGTCCAAAACACCAAAAGCAATGGCAACAAAAGACAAAATTGACAAATGGGATCTAATTAAACTAAAGAGCTTCTGCACAGCAAAAGAAACTACCATCAGAGTGAACAGGCAACCTACAACATGGGAGAAAATTTTCGCAACCTACTCATCTGACAAAGGGCTAATATCCAGAATCTACAATGAACTCAAACAAATTTACAAGAAAAAAACAAACTATAGCTGTTTTTAATGTCTACATAGATACATAAGCTTTCAACTTCGTGAACTAAGATACATAAGCTTTCAACTTCGTGAACTAAGTTAATTTATTCTTACCAGTCAGTTACTATGGCTGCTTGGCATTTTGAGGAGCAACATTTGAGGCTTTTACTGAAAAAAGTTCTAATGACCCATGCATGATACGTAGTAATTTGCAATTTTCTTTGATATGAGTTTTAGCAGTGCAGGATAGGCCTTGAAATTCAGAATTGTTCATCATCTAATGCCTAAACATAAGCTACCACTTATTATTACAATTTAACACTTAAACTTTATCCAGAAAATTAAATTAAATTAAACATGGGTTTTTGAGAATTTGATGATACATTTGCATATTAGATCATATATCTTGACAACACCAAAATTTACTATATTTAATAGGAACAGCAGTTTCAGAAGATTCTTGCATTACATCCAAATAGTAAAACGGAGGGGTCAAAAGCTTATCATTTTAAAAGGTTTTTACTTAAAGATGGCAATTTAAGTCTAGTTATCTATTTTCAAAAAATGTGCCAAAGCTTTTCAGCATCCTGACAGCAAACCCTGTGGCAGGGCATTTCCTCGGCACCACCGGCCTTCTGGGCTGGATGACTCTTTGTTGTGGGGGCTGCCACGTGCCTCATAGAATGTTTAGCAACACCCCTGGTTTCTACTCAATATATGTCCCCTCCCCCAGTCGTGACAACTGAAAATGTTCCCAGACATTGCCAAATGTCCTCTAAGGGCAAAACAGCCTCTTTGCCCATTAAGAACCCTGGTCCAAGGTGGTTATCCTCCCTGATATATTCTCTCACAGTCTATCTGAGCACTGGAGATGGATTCTCCCAACATTCTTCGAAAGCTTCATTGATTTGAGCAATTTTTTTGAGAGTTCACTTGTAGATTTTCCCTCCCACCGCTTTGACATGAAAGACCTACAGGAACGCAAGCCTCTGAAGTGGTCTGTAGCAAGTGTGAGTTCATTTTAGTTCACAAGGCTGAGAAATCATGCTTGGTATGGATGTTGTGGGGCTTTCTTTACTCTTACTTGGTGGAAAAAAATGTTCCTGCTTTTCACAAAAGGAGTCAGGGAGGCATCAGCAACACCCTTCAGTCTAAGGGGAGGTGACTGGTAAGTTTCAGGTGGCAAGGTGCTCATGGTCTGCACTGTCTTCTAACACCCAACCCCATTTTCACATAAATATCATACTGCCCTTTTCGATCTAGGTATTGTGAATGGGCTCATATAAGTTTCCTTAGAGATATCTTATATGAAAGTACATATTTTTTATAAAGCAAATGGGCAATATTTGTGTAACAACAATCTCCTGACTCATTTGATTGTTAAATCTCCATTTCAGAATGTTGATTTTTACCCCTGTCCCATAAAATCTTACTAGCAGTAGTTTCTTGGAAAGGGGGAAACTGTAATTGACTTGACATTGCTCCTGAGCTGGTTTCTCTACTTTGTGTGAAGCAAGTTTTCTTTCAATAAAATACTTGACACATCACATATAATAAGTCTTAGACTTCTTTCACTCTGAAGTTTGTATTTTTCAATGGTAAAACTAGCCTTCTATCCTTGTCCTGGTAAGTTTTAAAGTTTTTAGCTGTGTGAAGTATTTTTGTTCAGCTGGGACAGTGGGGTTGCTGGGTTTGCCAGTTTCTGCCAGTTGGGCTTTTTGTTTTTTTAATTCATTCGTGTTTTTAAGTCTATTCTAAAAGGCCACTTACAGATATTTTCCCGACTATCTTTCTACTACTCTTTCTTTCACTTTCCACGGCATCTCTGTGTCCCGGGTTCTCTGAGCGCTAGCACTGAATGTTGGCTTTCTGGCTGCAGTGTGGAGACGCAGAGCCTTCCTGCCCTTTCCTCCATGTGTAGAAAACAGTGGTAAAGAAAGGCTTTGCAGGAGGAGTTGGGAGGAGGACAGGAAAAAATATTTGAATCTTGCTCTATAAGTTTTGCAAGCTCACAACAGATGAACCTAAGGAGTTTTGTTTGCTTTGGTTTGGTTTGGGGTTTTTTTAATATTATTGTTCCTTTACCTCAAGTGTTTTTTCATTTCAGTCACAAGACTTCCTTACACCTAAAAAATTGCTTAAAATATTGTCTCATGAAATTAGGGTTGCTGAGGCAGGAATAATTTCATAAAGTTCTATTGGAAGGCAAATGTCAGGACTGATGTAGGAAGACACACCAACGAAGTTGAGGGTGGTCCAAAGTCTGTTACAAGTTGGAAGGCTTTTGTAAGGAAGTTCAGGCAGAAAGAAAGGGGCTCTTCATATTGGAGTTGTCTTTTTTCACTGGAGGGTACAATACAGAGGTTACAATCATTGGACACAGATGACAATATATAGACTAAAATATTTCATGCACAAAACAATCAGTAAAACTTTATGATTCAGAAACAAATCCATATCCTTTTCGATGTCAGGAGGTTACATATTAACCACTACATCAAATTAGCTCAGAAGCTACATTGAAGCCGAACTACATCAACGTTTGGGTGTATGAGCAGATCTGGTTATAGGTTACAGAGGTATCCTTCAATCAGACGTTATCTTATGTGTAGGAAAAGGCAAGGACTATTATTGCTTATCTTTTAAGGAGTAGAGTGACTCAGGCAAGAGAGATGGGAGGCCGTGTGCTCAATCTTGTTTTGTCTTTGAAGCATCTTTCTGGAGAACTGCAGGTCATCACAGCAGGGGCTTTGTGAAAGTATGCTAGCAAGCCGAAATGAGCAAGCAAGGCTTCTTACATTTGCTACATTGTCTCACAATATAACACGTTAGGTAAAGGGTTGGATGTGATCAGTAATTGCAGAGAAATGGAGCCAAGCCCATTTCACTGACTGTGCAGGGGTTGATGTGGATTCTCTGCTAAGACTGCATAACCAATGGAAGCCATGGAGTGTGCCGGGTGTGTCACAGCCTCACTTAGGCACAGCGTTTCCTTGTCTTTGTTCCAGGGAGGATGGTGGATTTTCCAGGCTACAATCTGTCTGGTGCAGTCGCCTCCTTCCTATTCATCCTGCTGACAATGAAGCAGTCAGGTAGGATTCCCTTCTCCCTTTACTGTATAGTCTAATGTCCCAGTGAGCTAGTCTGGGTCCAAAGGTCGAGAACAACATCTAAGAGTGTAAGTCTGGGGCCAAGCCACCTGTATCCAAAAAGGAACTCCTCACTTTTGAGGAGCTCCTCCACTCCCAGGAGCTCCTCCACTCCTAGCTGAGTCACCTTTGGAAAGTTACTTGAGCACCTCATACCTTAGTTCTTTCATCTTTTTAATGAGAATAACAGCAGTAACTACATCTCAGAGGCCAGCACAGGCTTTAGGATTAAATGAGACATTAAAAGCACTTGAATCAGTGGTTGCACCACGTTAAATTATTAATTCACTCTAGTACTTTGGGGTCAAGAAATGCAGCTGCTTCTTATCATAAATTAAGCTGCAATTAAAAAAAATACTTGGAAATAAGAAATTAGAAGAAAGGGACTTTGGAAATCTCACTAGCTGAATTTTGACGTCAAAATGTTGCACCTTGAAAAATAATTATTTAAAAATTCAGTGTCAAAAAAAAAAAATCAGTGTCAGAAGGAGATGTCAGAGCCCTAAGGAAAATGCAGCATGGCGAAGTGGGAAAAAACACGACACAGAGCATCAGAGGGCGCAGGCTCTGCCTCGGCACCGCAGAGCTGGTGTGTCTGCCTCGGTGCCGCAGAGCTGGTGTGTCTGCCTTGGCGCTGCAGAGCTGGTGTGATGTGATGAAGCTGCTGGCTTCTCTGTGCTTGTGCTGCAGCTCCCTACCCTGTAACAGTCAATCTGATGGAATGTCTTCAGTTCTAGCTTCATATTTAGACTTCATCAATGAAGAATACAAGCAGATCTCCACTTAGGCTCTTTAGCCACCTTTTGAGCAGCATCTATTTGATACCCAGCAGCAGCTAAGTAGGGTGAGGTTCTTCCTAGCAGGATTGGATCTGCACAGAGAAAGAGCAAATGGCCCCGGAGCATTTAGAATGAGAAAGAACATATCATACATGACATAAAATGATCAAACATAATAACATACATAACTGTTAAACATCTCTTCAATTTGCAGATAACAAGGAAGAGATCAGACATGTCTTAGAATTTGTTTGGAAGACCCAAAAATCTCTAGACAAACCAGTGTCCTTAATCCAGCACAAAATGTCCTTGTGAAAACTGCATTGTACATAGTCCCAGTAATTGGCCTCCTGCCAACTCCAGACGGGAAAAAAACAAACAAAAAAAAAACAAAAAAAAAACAGTTTTTATATCTAAGAGAAGAGGAATCCTGAAAGGCTAAAAAAAGCTAATAAATGGATTTATTATCTAAACTTCAGGAAAATAAAATGTTAATAACAAGAATAAGGTTTCCAATTTAAAAAGTCAATTTACATGAGAATAAATGACTCAAGGAATAAATAATTTACTTGAGAATAAAAACAACCCAGGTATGCTGGTATTAATATCTTGAAGATGAAGAAATTAGGACTTCAAATCTCAAAATCTTACCAAGAGTAATAGATTTGCCACCGAATCACATAGCTGGTAGGTGACAGACAGCAACCTCACCCACATTTTTGAACTGCATTTGTTTTCAGTACACAAAATTGACTCTGTAACAAACAGATGTGCAAATCATCATGCTGGATTTCTCTAAAACATTAAACATATATCTCTCCCTCTTCTAGTTGCCTCCATTTTGACAGGCTGGACACCCCAAAGCATGCATATGATTTTCTGATTGGCATTTCCTCGTTCCTCTTTTTCACTTATTTTATAGAAGACTTTAGAGTCATTGGCCCTGCTCATCCTATCCTGGCCGGGGTTGGGGAAGATGCCCTGTTAACCTGCCAGCTACTCCCCAAGAGGACCACAATGCACGTGGAGGTGAGGTGGTACCGCTCAGAGCCCAGCACACCTGTGTTTGTGCACAGGGATGGAGTGGAGGTGACTGAGATGCAGATGGAGGAGTACAGAGGCTGGGTAGAGTGGATAGAGAATGGCATTGCAAAGGGAAATGTGGCACTGAAGATACACAACATCCAGCCCTCCGACAATGGACAATACTGGTGCCATTTCCAGGATGGGAACTACTGTGGAGAAACAAGCTTGCTGCTCAAAGTAGCAGGTGAATATCTGGGGAAAGACACAGGGTCTCAAGAGGCAGAGATATATTAATTTGTGGTAAGCTTTGTGACAGTTGAGGAAATCCTTTTGAATCATCAAGGTAATTCCTAATGCTTAGTCCTCTACCCTGATTGATTTAAAAATAAGTGGTTCTGGAGTCTTCAAGCTTAGTGTTAAAATATTTTCCCAAATTTAATTTGCACAGTTTTGACTGTTCTTGAGGATTATTTGGAATCCATGACATGCAGTCTTTAGCAATTTTGCTGAGACACACATTTGTGCTACCTAAGGCTGGTGCGCAAGAGCAAACCAATTGCTGCATGAATGAGCCCAGCTGACGTCCGGCATCTGTATCTCAGGGCATTGGTTTTTCTCTACCCAATCCCATCTATGCAGAAACTGAGACGTGAAAATGTTCTTTCCTTGTGAAATGCCCTCAGTTAGAAAGCTATCAACAAGACTGAAAAGGCTAAGAATGTCGTGCTTTGGAGATTGTTATATACTAGTGTTCAATGAATTGGGGACTCACAGATGCTTTTGGACACACCCTCTGTGAATGGGAAGGTTCTTCATATTGCTGTTGTATTAGCTAAGCAGGAAGGAGTAGGGAAGAAGGGGACAACTGAAGAATGGATCTGTCTTATGAAAAGTAAACTATCATATGATTCCCTGACAGGGCTAACTTCTCCATGCTCTAAAGAGAAAATCAAGTAAATCCAATTACTAAGGCAAATGGGGAAAATAGTTCTCTGGAGATGTTAACGTCTCCAGCTGATACTGCTTCCTTCTTTACTTCCCTGGGAGGCTGTTTCCTAATACCTTTTTTTTTCTTAACATCCATTACTGTTACTGTGTTCAAGGTGATTCAAAATGGATGGAGGAATACATATATTTCTGACATGGGGGGACAGGGAACGTACTGATGTATTTCAATATCAGGAACATTTACAAATAAGTCACACATTTTCTAAGGGTCCAAGGGAAGGGAGTGGATCTCTCTTTTACCAGCAAGTGATTAAGACAGAATTCCCATTTATGGAAAATATAGTCCCCTTAGTTTGGGTGTGGGAGTTTCACGTTAAATAGAGAAAAAAAATTCATGATTTCATAAACTGTTGTAAACTAGGATTTCTCAAAACCATCTTACCCATTGAATAGAATATTTAGCTACAAATAACGCCTCGTGGAGATTCGCATTTCACATGCTCCCGTTTATCCACTTGCTTCCGAAGATCACAGCCACCAGCAAAAGATGCAGGAAGAACAGGCCCCTGGGGAGTGATTTCTGACTTTGTGTTAAATCTTCAATCAAATTGGAGTTCAAGACATCATCTAAAATACCAGACAATGTGCCCAATACAGATAATTTTAAGATGAAAAAGGCAGAGTTCATGGCACAGAGGAATTAATGAATAAATTACAGCTCATCTCTGTTTGCAGTGCTAGAGGCGTTGCAAAATGTCATGATGTCCCCCTTCTCCGATTCCCCTTTCTGGATCTGGAGAAAAGTACTGGTCAGATGCTAAAATGTAAAGACCCAGACTGGGGAACAAATAAAGTGTATCTGAACTCACATTTGAATGGGGAGACTGAGGTCGACTTTCTGCTCCTCAGACTCCTGAACTCCGGCCACCTCCCTGTGAGCAACGTCACTGGGATCTCAGCCTCTGTGATTTCTGCCTCTGTGGGCTCTGGGTGTCAGAGCTGTGGCTTCCCTCTGCAGGTCTGGGGTCTGCCCCTAGCATCCACATGGAGGGACCTGGGGAGAGTGGAGTCCAGCTTGTGTGCACTGCAAGGGGCTGGTTCCCAGAGCCCCAGGTGTATTGGGAAGACATCCGGGGAGAGAAGCTGCTGGCCGTGTCTGAGCATCGCATCCAAGATAAAGATGGCCTGTTCTATGCGGAAGCCACCCTGGTGGTCAGGAACGCCTCTGCAGAGTCTGTGTCCTGCTTGGTCCACAACCCCGTCCTCACTGAGGAGAAGGGGTCGGTCATCAGCCTCCCAGGTCAGTGCTCTGCCTCTAGGACCCACATGCTCAGATCAGCAGGAGAGGTCCCAGGGACTGCACCATAGCACCTCGTATTTTTATCAAGAGACATTATCTATCATATAGCAATATGTATTGAAAGCCATAAAACATTTATGACTGGAAATATACGCACTACATTTTACTTGAATAGCTGTTATGGCGCCTGCGTTATTTTTGAGTTCTACCTTTCCTTCTTCTGCATTGATTGTTTTTACTCACAAGTATCCATTGCATTGTAAAGAAAATAAAGCTATATTTCTTCAACTGAAATGTTTTCCTATGCTGTCTTGTGCTGATTACTTCTAGAAATCTATCATATGAAGATAATCAGAGATGTAGACAACTATTTGCATAATAGAATATTAATTATGGCCTTATTTATAAATAGCAGCAAAAACAACCAACCCCCCAATACAACAGTACAGTGTGGAATCTTGTCTTACTATACATTATAGCATTAATAAAAAGATATTTTTAAATAATTTTAATGGTTGAAAAAAATCCTCATGATGCACTATTCAATGATAAACATGACATCTACCTATAAATTGACATTTCCAATCACATAAAAGTTACTGGCCTTAAATAACTTATAACTGCACTAAAACTTTCAGGATACCCTCCACATTTGGATATAAGTATACAGTTATTCATATAAATGGATAGATTAAAAAAACTTTAAAGTTAATGTTACATTTTAATTTTAAATGAAGCTGATTGTATATTACATATAATTCGTCTCTCTACTTTGTAATTTAGGTGATACTGTTTATGTCCATATAATTTTGTACTTTCTGTGTATCTATAAAAGGAACATATGTTATTTTCATGCTGATAGCTAAGTATTTATGCTGTAAATATCAGAAGAAACCAACAGAATCATGGGGAGATAGAAGTGACAGCATTTTTGTTGTGCAGAGAAAAGGAAAAAAAGCTGTATCATTGGGTAATCTGTGGGAAAGAATCAGTATTTTTCTGCATTTCATTTTTTTAATGAATTGAGCTTCCCTATATAATGTATAAATTGCTTTCTTTTTTAAAAAATAGTTTCTCTCCTTTCCCTTACACCAAATTCCTTAATATGTTATTCTTGTTCTTTTTCCAGAGAAACTCCAGACTGAGCTGGGTAAGTACGAGGTGCTGGCACACACCTGTGGAGGGAGCCTCTGCCCTCCCCAGCAGAGGGAGGGGAGCTACCACGAGACCATGTGACCCAGAGGAAAAACTGAGGCACGATTTTACCAGGTCCTATGTTCATTAAATACCAGAGGAGACCAGCAAAGTAATGGCCTCATTCAAGGAGGTTGCAGCTGTGTTACCTGACACTTTGGGGGCTCATGGAGATTCCAGTGAGCATCAGATGGACACCTATAGGAAGCATGGCATCATCTCTGTTCTATGTGTTGAGGGGAAAGGGAGCTGCCTCAGAATGTGTGGGGGATGACAGCAGACAGCTGGCCGGGGCCTGGAGGCCCTTTGAAAACATTTCAAGTGTGAACAAGGGCAGCATCATTATGACAACCTGGGTTGCACCCAGCACCTCCCTGCTCAACTCTGCTATGGGGTCCTGCACCTGCTCCTCACCCCAGTACACCCCTAAGCTAATCACTATTGGGAGGGAGCTGTTACTTTCTGAGTGCAACCTGGGATACTGTGAGTGTAGCAATTTTTTTTTTTTTTTTTTTTTTTTTTTTTTTTTTTGAGACGGAGTCTTGCTCTGTCGCCCAGGCTGGAGTGCAGTGGCGCGATCTTGGCTCACTGCAAGCTCCGCCTCCCAGGTTCAGGCCATTCTCCTGCCTCAGCCTCCCAAGTAGCTGGGACTACAGGCAACCGCCACCACGCCCGGCTAATTTTTTGTATTTTTAGTAGAGACGAGATTTCACCGTGTTAGCCAGGATGGTCTCGATCTCCTGATCTCGTGATCCCCCCACCTCAGCCTCCCAAAGTGCTGGGATTACAGGCGTGAGCCACCACGCCGGGCATTTTTTTTTTTTTTGAGACGGAGTCTCGCTCTGTTGCCCAAGCTGGAGTGCAATGGCGCCATCTTGGCTCACTGCAACCTCCATCTCCTGGATTCAAGCTATTCTCCTGCTTCAGCCTCCTGAGTAACTGGGACTACAGGCATGCGCCACCACACCCAGCTAATTTTTTTTTTTTTTTTTTAGTAGAGACGGGGTTTCACCATGTTGGCCAGGATGGTCTCGATCTCCTGACCTCATGATCCGCCGGCCTTGGCCTCCCAAAGGTGCTGGGATTACAGGCATGAGCCACTGCACCCAGCCTAATTTTTGTTTTTTAAATCTCGGAGTTGGACTGAGGGTATTATTTTGCTGCACCTGAGATAAGTGGTTTAAAACATAACCAGCCGATGGCTGAGCCCCTTTGAGTTTCCCCTTTACCTCCTTACTAGCTCCCTCCTTTTTATGGCCTCTTCTCCCAGCCCAAGGCAACCAGCCTGCCTCCCTGCCTAGGTGCATAGAACGTGGATCCCTTATGTGCTCTTTCCATCAATTCCTTGCTCTCCATCAAGTCACCTGCTCCAGGAATGTGTATCCATGTGTGTGCTTTAGGTGAGCTTAAGCACACCTTTCAGCCCACAAAAGAGTTTTTGAGGAAAATCAGGGTAACAAACACAACCCAATCTCTACCAGAGTCTACTATGGCACCTTCAACCCCATTAGGCCATAAACATAAAGGGAAGGGTCCCTGGAAGGCGCAAAGTAACTCCACAATCTGAGGAGAGACACACACCTGTGTATCTTACCCTTCTGAGATCAGGAAGTAAAGCCAGTGTTTGGGGCAGGTTGACACAAGTCTGTCTCTCAAGAAGGTTTTAGGAGAAGAGTCACTCCTCTGAGTTCTCTGAGACCCACTGGAGACCCAGCACACACAATACGACCCCATGTCCTGTTGTTCCTAAGTCATGGTAACCTCCGGGGCCACAATTAACCAACACGGAAAGATGGAGCTTCCCTTTGCTTCCTGTCAGGTGGGAGAGGAGGGCTCTGGGCACGGAAGCTTTGCAGGTGAGCTCTAATGATGGGACACCCAGCTCTCTATGGAAGTCCTAAGACTGAAATCACTGCTTGTAGTCTTACAAATAATGTTTTTCATTTATAAAAATAATAGTTTTTAAAAATATTAATTGTATGCCAGGCACGATGCTGAATATGTTATGGGAATTATTTCATTTTTTCTTACAATAATTATAAAGTTTAATTGCTTTATCCTCATATTACAGCTAAGAAACAATCTTAGAGACATACATGGTTTGCCAAAAATCAGGAAGAAATGGTGATGTTTACCTTCTAATCTACATCTATCTAACTTAACAGTGCAAGTCCTTAATTACTTATGTGTGACTTTGTCAGCTCATTCATCTCTATTTTTCTCATCTTTAAAGTGAACAGGTTGAATTTAATCTCTAATGTAGTGTCCAGTTCTAAGAGATTAGATATAACTTAGCATATTTGAGAAATGAGATAGTGCATTAATTGAATATGCTGATTGAAAGAGGATTATGTGGTATGATGATGAGATTATCAGGTTTCAAGGAATCAGTGTATAATTCAGTGTACTTCACGCTCCAGAAGGGAATTAATTTTTCAGTGGATATTCAGAAGGCATTCAGAACATACAAACAATAACCAAAACAAAACAAAGCAATATATTTCAGCACAAAATTGTCTGGAAGGCTGTGTACAAAACCGTATAGAAAAAGGAGGTTAACTACTGCATGTTCACACTTATAAGGGGGAGCTGATTGGTGAGAACACATGGATGCATGGCAGGGAACAACACACACTGGACACCTGTTGGGGGATGGGGGAGGGAGAGCATCAGGAAGAACAGCTAATGGATGCTGGGCTTAACACCTGGGTGATGGGATGACCTGTGCAGTAAGCCACCATGGCACATGTTTACCTATGTAACAAACCTGCACATCCTGCACATGTACCCCGGAACTTAAAATTGAAAGAAAAAAAAAGTGGGTTAGGCATAGTGGCTCCCAAGGAGCTTGTATTCTAGTAGAACATCAATTATTAACAAACAGGGCTGCATGATTTTTTTAGCACTTTAAACTTTAGTTTTACTTGGATTCTGGACAAAAGGAGTTTTGTCTGTATCTGTAATGCATCAAATTAATTGAATCTCCATACTTACATTTTGCTTCCTTCAGTCTCCATTGAAGTCAATTTTAGCTCTTAATTACCTATGTCAGGCAGGGCAAGCCAGTTTAAGATCTAATATGTGCACAGGTCACACACGGACAGGGAATAAAATCCTCATATGGATAAAGGAGATGAGGAAACAGTCTGTTTTATTAAGTAATTTACCGTAAGCCATGTGGATGCAGAAACAGCCCCAAACTAATCCCTAGTCCATTTTTTCTGATTCTTGTCTTCAGACTTTAATAGATACATAGGAGAGGAAAATAATATTGTTTTAGGTAAAATTACAGGACAAAGCAAACAAAATGCTGGAAATAACTGGGAGTCAACTGTTACCTGGAATGGAAGGTAATAATCTGAAAATTCAAATTGTGTTGACAGGGACTTTCCTCTCTACAAAGGTAGCTGGCAGTTTTCGGCCAATGACATAATGGGATGTTAACGCCTTTGGCCAGTGACTCTATGCAGAGAACCAACAATTTTATGCTTGTGTTTCTATTATAAATGATCACACCTTATGCAAAACCATTCTTATCATTTAACAGAAAAGGACGACACTTAATTTAGAATAGAGAAAAAATGGCACGGGCAGGGCCTGATGAGAATGGAAAATGTAATATAGCTTGGGCCCAGGAAAGCCCTCAGAGAACATCTTTCCCCACTTTGCACAGTGAGAGAATTAGACCCCTTTTTTACATTCATCATTGTTTCACAATTTGTACTTTGCCGACTTCCCCAATTATTGATCTTAAAATGTTAATTTTAATTTTCAAAATTATTTGAGGACATTCAACTGGTGTGTGTCTATAACTCCACCTATGTGGAGCATTGGGGAAATAAAATATAGCGGCTGGACCAGACTTACAAGGTACTATAAAGTCCACCTAGAGGAAAGCTTCTTCAAATATCATTACCAAAAGTCCACATGAGACATGTTTTTAAACCCCTCCCTATTACCACGTCAGAGGGTGGGGATGGCTCCAACGCCTTCAAGTCTCACAGGTCTGTGCACCTCTGCTCACGCTGCAGGGTCTTCCAGGCACTTAATGCAAACTATTTTGTTCAACTCTGAAACATTATGATTTTGGTAGTTGTATAGCAAATTTACAGTTTAAGAAACTGAGGCATTAAGAAGTAGTTTAAGACAGATTAAGAAGTAGTTTAAAATCATACAGAATTGAAGTGTTAGAAGAAAAACTTTAGACAGACTAAATTTAGCAGAGTCTAACTGAGAAAAGGATGACTCATAAACAAGCCATCCCTCAGAATCAGAACGGTTTCAGAGAATTCAAAGCAGCAATTTGGTCAGACAGCATTTATGGACAGAAAATGGAAATGAGGTACAGAAAACAGAAGTGAGGTACAGAGACAGCTCTATTGGTTGCAGCCTGGCGTTTGCCGATTTGAACAGGGTTTCAACAGTTGGCTGCCTGCAACTAACAGAAGTGCAGCAGCTGCTACTCAGCTATTTATTACAAAAGTGTACTCCTAAGTTAGCCTTAGCTCCTAAGTTAGGCTTATTCATAAAATAATTTTGCAATTAAAACTCTCAGAATAAAATGAGCAATTTATAAATTTGGCCCCAGGATGCCTCTGTACCTGAGTGCTTATGTAACAAACTGCAACCTAAGTTAGGCTTTCAGTAGTTGACGTACTAAGTTAAATTGCAGTTTGTTACATAAGGAGTCAGGTACAGAGGCATCTGGGGCCAAATTTATAAACTGTTCACTTTATTCTGGGTGTTTTTTGTTTGTTTGTTTTTAAAGTCTCGCTTTGTCACCCAGCCTGGAGTGCAGTGGCATGATCTCAGCTCACTGCAACCTCTGCCTCCCGGGTTCGAGCAATTCTTCCACCTCAGCCTCCTGAGTAGCTGGGATTACAGGCACCCACCATCATGCCCGACTAATTTTTGTATTTCTGTAGAGACGGGGTTTCACCATGTTGGCCAGGCTGGTCTTGAACTCCTGACCTCTGGTGATCCACCCGCTTCGGCCTCCCAAAGTGCTGGGATTATAGACTTGAGCCACCACACCCAGCCTATCTGGGAGTTTTAATTGCAAAATTATTTTATTATTGGTCTGTAAACTGAAAAAAATACAGGTAGAAGCAGGTAGGGATTCAATTACTGTTTTACTCAGACTGACACACATCATGGAATGATTCCTCCTTAAAGAAGAGCAACCTCTATTCTGAGTCCATGAAACCCCCACCTCACCTAAGGATGACCCTGAGCCTCACAGCAACCCTGGGATGCTCATGGTTTCTAAACTCCAATGGAGCTGTTCTTAGAGATGACATTATTGGTTCCATTTTGATTCTTTCATTGTGTTTTGTCCACTCTATTTAACAGCTTCTTTAAAAGTGAATGGACCTTCCCAGCCCATCCTCGTCAGAGTGGGAGAAGATATACAGCTAACCTGTTACCTGTCCCCCAAGGCGAATGCACAGAGCATGGAGGTGAGGTGGGACCGATCCCACCGTTACCCTGCTGTGCATGTGTATATGGATGGGGACCATGTGGCTGGAGAGCAGATGGCAGAGTACAGAGGGAGGACTGTACTGGTGAGTGACGCCATTGACGAGGGCAGACTGACCCTGCAGATACTCAGTGCCAGACCTTCGGACGACGGGCAGTACCGCTGCCTTTTTGAAAAAGATGATGTCTACCAGGAGGCCAGTTTGGATCTGAAGGTGGTAAGTAAGAATTCTAGATAGATATTTTGTATTCAATACCTGCTCCTGCCACTTTAATATGCTAGTTCCTGGACAATTTCTCTGACATTTGAAATTTTCTTAATGCTTATTCATCATCAAATTTATATCAAATCCTCCAGTGTGTGAAACTGTCATAGTTACTTAAAATCCACAAACTCAAATGGATGAAATTTAATTATTTGGGCATATAACTTGTATCTTTTCCAGTATCTTCAAAAATTGACCATATCTTTAAGGAAATCTGAGTATCTTACTACATATTTTACAAAAGGCTCATTGTTTCACAGTGTGTTATTAGAATTCTGAGAAATGCAATAAAATTCTAGAAACTGTAATCATCTGAAGACTAAACTGGATCCACTGTGTAAACCAAAATTATAAATATTGACAGTTTTGGCAGGGACAGGGGAGAAAAGATGAAATCACTCCCTGCAGCATCATTTCCCACTGTCCGTGTGTGTGAGAATTGAAACGTCCAAGGTTAGCAGATGCCATTGAGTACATATAGGCCCAAGTCTTGGATATGCTACGTGTTTCTCCCACGGATTTTGATTCTAAATTAATAAACACGTTTAGCCATGGGAGCGCATGTTGAGAAGTTTCATGAGCCTCGTATTTTCTGCCATTGGACGTAGATATTTATAAGGTTTCGATTTTTGAGAATATCCTCCTACTCCGTATGTTAATCCTGTCCATGTGACCCATGCCCTGGCCGAAGTTATTTTGTTCTCAGGGACAGAATAAATGTTGGATTTGAACATTTACCTTACCTCTTAATCATCCCAGAATGATTTAGGAATACAAAGAATAAAAATAAGCAAACAAACAAAATAAGAAAATGCTCCAGCCAGCCTCATCCCTAAGTGGAGTGCAATCCCCCTTAAGCTTTTCTCCCTTCCCCAAGCCCTCCACATCCCCTTCTTTCCTCCCAGTGAAATTGCTGCCCACTCATCCACTTGAAAGGACCCCAGGCTTTGGTTGCTTTCTCTGCCCCAGGTCTGGGTTCTTCCCCACTGATCACTGTGGAGGGGCAAGAAGATGGAGAAATGCAGCCGATGTGCTCTTCAGATGGGTGGTTCCCACAGCCCCACGTGCCATGGAGGGACATGGAAGGAAAGACGATACCATCATCTTCCCAGGCCCTGACTCAAGGCAGCCACGGGCTGTTCCACGTGCAGACATTGCTAAGGGTCACAAACATCTCCGCTGTGGACGTCACTTGTTCCATCAGCATCCCCTTTTTGGGCGAGGAGAAAATCGCAACTTTTTCTCTCTCAGGTTGGTGATTCCTTATGTTCCTTCAGGTTTGGAAAATAAATATGAAGACCAACTCAGACTTACTCATTGTATTGCTCTTCTTCCTTTGTGATTTTTATTTGCTGCTCTCTGACGAGGTCTCCTGCTATCCTCTGCAAAGCTGGTTTTCAGGACACCCAGGGATTCTACTCCTCTGAGTTTCTCTCTGACACCCTCAACTAGCGCCCTGCAATTATTTTTATCATTGGATACACACTAAATTCTCGTAATTGACCCTGTTTTCACTCTCTCTCTTTAAATTCTCTTCTTCTGATGTGAAAACAATTAAATTACAGAACTTTGTGTTTTCCCCCTCATGGAGGATTTTCTTCTGGATTAGAAACTGATTTTTATTAATACCATCTTCATGGTTGCGGCTTGAGTAATTTTATCCTTTCCTCCTCAAGTCATTCCAGTGATTGTGTGATATAGTTGGAAGAGAGAAGGGAAAACTTGTCTGTGCATGTGTACATTTCTGAGACGAGCAAACATGAAATACTTGCATTCTCTCCTCTGCATCTCCAGAGCAGGGAGGAGCAGGCCAACTGCTTCCTGGGAGGCCAAATTCTCTCCCTTCTCTCCAGCCTAGAAGCTGCTCAGATGAAAAGTACAATCTTAATATTGTCCCAGTTTCACAGTTTCAAGGGATTCTTGGGTTTCCATTTTAGAGTCCAGGATGACGTTTTTGTGGAAAACACTGCTTGTTTGGGGATTGCTTCTTGCTGTGGCTGTAGGCCTGCCCAGGAAGAGGAGCTGAAAAGAGGTAAGTCAGGGAAACAGAAACAGCGGAGCACACTGCAGTGGGAACCGTACTGCGTACTTCCCCGAGCCTCCCTTTTCACAAGTCACCTATGGGAGGCAGTCAGTGAATATCCAGTAACTAAGGAAACATGAGAAACAGGAAAGCCCAGGGCTTATCATGCAATCCAGGCTCAGTGATGCATGAGGTCAGTGTTTCCACTTGTAATAGAAGCAAAATGATTAAAAGATAATGATTTGATTTCCTGCTGCCCATTCCCCAGTGATCTGGTTAGGGAAGAAGAAGAAAAAAGTGAGTAGTACAGCCATCCTTGTTTTCAAGGCTGAGAGCTGAGGTTCACTGAGATTTGTTGGCGTGAACAATTTCCTATGATCTTTAAAAATGTGGTGACCTACTTGTTGGTGATTTCTGTGTTGCTGGTGACTTCTCATGTGTTAGGGAGGCTGTTTTGTGTGCTCTAGAAAGTGCTTCCACTTTAAATTTCTTATGTCCGTGAAACACTTGTCTTCCTGTTTGGCTGTTAATAGAATGAAATTATATTGATTAATTATCAGAATGGATTCTCTTTCTTTACAGTGAATGTGACATTGGCTTCAAACACAGCTCACCTGAGACTGATTTCTTCTGAACAGAACAAGCGTGTGATCCATGGACATTCAGGCAGCCAGATATCCCACAGAGATCTGACTATCTGCTCTATGGGCCAGAGGGAACTCCTGTCAGGGAGCTGGTACTGAGAGGTGGAGACTGGGAACAGGGCGCGATGGGTCCCGGAGGTTGCCAAGCACATGTTGCAAAGAAAGAGTCATCTCTGTGTCACCTGACAGTGAGTTTTAGGCAATGGATTGCAAAAGAAATGAGTTCTGGGCCATCCCCTCTCTTCCAAGCCCCATCCCCTTGAAGGTGGCCCCTGAACAAGTCAGAATCCCCCTGACCGTGCCTCTGAATACCTCTCCTCTTATAACATGATTGGCAAGTGCCCTATCTACACCTTCCCCAAAACTTCCTTCTCTGGGACTCTGCACCCCGCTTCATTCTTTGGTTCCCTAATGTAGGTTCTCTGGACATTTTTTCTGTACCCACAAGAACATCTCCAACGTATCAGGAAAATAACAATCTGGGATTCTGGAAACCAGAATGATATTCTGAGTCCTGATCATTTCTCATTTCTCTAACTGCTTGAAGGGGGCTGCCATGATCATTGAAGTACTAACTCAAGGTGTTTTAATTCTACTCAGGAAAATCTGCTGGAGACTGATCTTTTCAGAGACCTATCCTGTTCCAGGTTCTCTGAGATCCGGCCTATCAATCACAATCTGACATCTGATAATCAAGGACCCTTAGAAAATCCCATGGGAAATACAATTTAGCCTACAGGAAGAAATGAAAGGAATAATCAAGGATTTGGTCAGTTTCTTTTTTTTTTTTTTTTTCTTTTCTTTTTTTTTTTTTTTTTTTTTTTCTGAGACAAAGTCTCACTCTGTCACCCAGGCTGGAGTGCAGTGGCATGATCTCAGCTGACTGCAACCTCTGCCTCCCGGGTTCAAGCAATTCTCTTGCCTCAGTCTCATGAGTAGCTGGGATTACAGGCATGTGCCACCATGCCCAGCCTATTTTTGTATTTTTAGTAGAGATGGGGTTTCACTTTGTTGGCCAGGCTGGTCTCAAACTTCTGGCCTCAAATGATCCACTCGCCTCGGCCTCCCAAAGTGCTGGAATTACAGGCATGAGCCACCACACCTGGCCTGATCAGTTTATTTAAGATGGTGACAATTAATTGTCCACATAGGTGGAACTGAGAAAATAAAAAATATATATATACAGTTAAAAAAAAGTGAAAGAAAATACAGCTGCATAAGGGGGAGAAAAATCTGATCACTAAAATATAATCTTGAAAATCTTATGAAGTGTTGTAAAATCCTTCCTCCAGACTTTTTGAGAAAGTTGATACAGGAAATTGAGTCAGGAAAAAAATTTTACACTTTCCGATCCAAGCGAAAAATTATGTATCATCTATACGAACATGTCAATTTTATTGTTAGAGCAAAATAAAGTGCACAATTTAAAATTAATAATTATAAAATAAACAAATATAAGCAGTACATGTAACACAGTAAAAATATTTTAAAGTTATAATGAGTTCAAGAAGATAAACTATATGTGGAAGACAGAAGAATGTCAACAAGACTTTTGGAAAGAATGTTATGAAGTGAGAAGACGAGGACCTGCTAGTGACGCTCTGCTGCTCTCCAGGATGGCAGACGTCAGAGGCATCGCGGTCCCATGCGGATCACTCATGAACAGCACTCTGAACTTGCTCTTCTGGGCCATCATTTTTTTTTCTATTTTTAAACTCATAAATTTAAACACATAAATGTTAGAAACTACACATTATTCTTCCACAAATGTTTACACATTAATTTTAATAAACATTTTTTTCAATTGTGGTAAAATACATAACATAAAATAAAACCCTTTAACCATTTTAAAGTGTACAGTTCTGTGGTATTGTATATGTGACATTGCTGTGTGACCATCATCATCACTTTCTAGTTCCAGAATATTTTCATCGCCCTAAACGAAACTTCATACCCATTAAGCAGTTACTACCCATTTTTCACCCCCTACTCCCCAGGTAATCTACTTTCTGTCCCTATGAACTTTTCTATTCTGAATATTTTATATAAATGGAACCATAAACTATCTGTGTATGTGTATGTGTATGTGGCTTCTTTCCCTTAGCCTAATATTTTTAGAGTTCTTCCATGTCATAGCATGTATCAGTGCTTCTTTCCTTTTTAAAAAAAAAATTAACAGACATTATTTTTAAGAACAGTTTTAGATTTATAACAAAATAAAATGGAAAATCCAGAGAGCTCCTAGATCCCTCCTCTCTCCCCCCTATTTCTGCTATTATTAACATCTTACATTAGTGTGGCACATTTGTTACAACCCATGAAAGAATAGTGACACATTATTTTCAACTAAAGTCCACAGTTTTACATTAGGTTCACCTTTTGTTTATATAATCTCTGGAGTTTAACAAATGATTTTTACATTTACATTGATCTATCTTTATATTTATGAAGACTTAAATTTATTAGTAAATATACTAGGTTTACCTGAAAATATTTTAACACTATTTTGATTTAATGTAATTAAAAATAATTTATTGCACAACATCTAAAGGTTAACTATTATTTTTCACTTACTTTTGAGTCTTCCTTCCCAGTGAATGTAGCTCTTTGCTTGTTAGTCTGTGCTTGTGAAGGCCCTATGAATACATATATTCACTTTCCAGGGAGAAAGTCTCAAGAAAATTGGTTTTATCAGTCACATTCTCTCACTGTATATTAGAAAACATACTTTCCTATAGCTTCCCAAATTGGTGATTAATGTACTTTCTGAGTTCCAGTTCCAGTTAGAAAAGCCACAGGAAGGAGAGGGGTTGGTGGCATTGAGGATGATGCCCCAGTCACTGGAAGTCCCTGTGGCTGTTGGGTGGGTAATCGGGTTGGTGCCTCAGGATACAGTTCCCTCCCCTCCTGGTGTGTAGACAGCTGGGTGTAGTCATTAAAGTGGGGCCACTCTCAGAATAAATGTGCAGATTGGCTGGATCTCAGTTTCAGGGAGAGGACAGGAGGAAGCCACAGAGACTGAATTGTTAACTCCCTGACATTTTCCTCCTTTGTCAGTACAATTTAACTTCCATGAGGACAGTGATTTTTTTCCTTCTTGTCTAGCCCCACAACCTGTAAAAATGACATACATTGATTATCAATAAACATTTGTAAAATGCATGAATTGTCTCATAAAGTGATATTTATTGAATATCTTACCTGTTGAATGTACTATGCTAAGGCCTAGAGATACAATCCTTAATAAGACATAATTCCTGCCCTCAGGTCTTTCTTTTTTGCAGTGGAGTCACTCTGTTTTTGGAATGTCTTATTATACCTTCATAAACTTTACTAAAAATGGGAGTGCCAGAGTAGTCCAGCAATAAAGAATTAATTGATGTAGCCAGGTGGTGAATTCACTTTTCCAGAAAGGATAGGCTACTTGGAGACCCTGCACTACTTATTGATTTACTCAAAGCTACAAATGAAAATAAGATGGACACTGTTATCCCTGACAGGTCTAAAGCTCTGAGTCCAATCAACCATCCACCTTCACGTTTTCTACCATGTCCACCTGCAGCCACTGCTCCCCAATCTCTAAGCTTAGAAGGACAAACACCCATTAAAATGAGTAAAGAAGTGACAAGTTTAAGAATCTTGTTGTAGAAAAAATATGAATTTAGACTCTGAAAAAGAGATAGTAAAAACTCCTCTTGAACCTCATGCTGAATGTCCTAAGTGTATAAAAAAGTAAAATGTCTAAGGCTGAACCTGTTACATTTCGTGTTCTATACCACAGTTCCACCCCATTTGTTCCTGTTTTGTTGTTACCCCCATGTTTAGGGCTCGCATGTCCAGAAATCCCTTCTCATCCACCATGTCCATTTGATTATAACTATTAATATTTTATCACCATTTATTTACCTCTGTCCTGCCTTGATTATTTCTTGATGAAATATGTAAGCCTCCCTTTAGGGTCAGTGAAATTAGGACTAGGCTCTGGCTTGATTCTTCCTGGCTTCGAATACTGTCTTTGCCACTTAGTGTGTGACGTGAAATTTCACCAAGGAGATACATCTACAGGACAGATTGTTAGAGGCACTTGTGGTTTACAGATCTGCAAATACTGTAGAAGAAAAACTAAGGGGATCTCTTCCATCATCAGGAAGAAAGGGTTCATTTAACAGAAGAAGCTCGGCCAGGTGCGGTGGCTCACGCCTGTAATCCCAACACTTTCTGAGGACAAGGCGGGTGGATCACAAGGTAAAGAGATGGAGACCATCTGGGCCAACACGGTGAAACCCTCTCTCTTATACTAAAAATACAAAAATTGTGGTTTCCAGGTTCATCCATGTCCCTACAAAGGATATGAACTCATCCTTTTTTATGGCTGCGTGGGAATTGAACAATGAGAACACCTGGACACAGGGCGGGGAACATCACACACCAGGGTCTGTCGTGGGGTGGGAGGAGCGGGGAGGGATAGCATTAGGAGAAATACCTAATTTAAATGATGAGTTGATGGGTGCAGCAAACCAACATGGCACATGTATACATGTGTAACAAACCTGCACGTTGTGCACATGTACCCTAGAACTTAAAGTATTAAAAAAAATACAAAAATTAGCTGGGCGTGGTGGTACATGCCTATAGTCCCAGCTACTCAGGAGGCTGAGGCAGGAGAATCGCTTGAACCTGGGAGGTGCAGGTTACAGTGAGCAGAGATGGTGCCACAGCACTCCAGCCTGGTGACAGAGCGAGACTCCGTCAAAGAAAAAACAAACAAACAAACAAAAATACACAAACAAACAAAAAGCAGGAGAAGCTCATATTCTATATCCTTGAAGACAACTTGATGATAAACAGCTGGAGAAGTCTTACATGCAGCAAGGACAAGGGAAACCCTCAACAGTGGGCAGAACAGGTCAGGAAGAAAAAGAATGTTAATGTTAGCAATGACTCTTGGTACAGATGTTTCTTTATTTCTACTTTACTGCTTTCTCTCCTAAAGTATAAACTGCAACATTGACTCCTCTTTCATTCACATTCTCACATAGGACACAATTCTGGACTTGCTGACCAGTGAGAACTTATTAAAGAAAAGGGCTCTTTCCTTCCAGAAGGCTTGGGCTCCTCCTCCAATTATTTACAATTATTCATGAGCCTTCTCCGTCCCTTGTCAAAGTCCAAGATTAGCAGTTGATTGTACACTAGAGCCTGAAGAGCAAACACGCTGAGCTATTAAAGGACTTGGACAGATTCCTATGCATCTCCAACAGTGGTAATGGAAGTGAGAATTCACTCTACTGCAATACTTCCCTTCAAACGCCTCCCCTCCTCCATATTTGATAACAAAAATAGTAAGAAGAGATTTCCCTGTAAATGTAGCTTTAAAATTATATACTTCAACACACACTCAGCATGAAAACAGATGAGAAATCCATGAACTTGTTTGGAGTTTTCTTGTGAGAAATAGTTGCTGCCCACAAAGAGACTGTATTTCCCCAATAGCAGCACCGGAGGAAATCTCCCTGGACATTTTCCAGTTCTCTCACTTCACTTTCTGCCTCTTCCTCTTTGACAGAAAGTGAAATCACACCTAGTGAAACTGACCTACTCACCATCCAAGGACAGCTTTCCTGGTGAATGTACCTAGAAGATGCTCCAGTGGAGACAGCAGAGGTGCCAACACTTCGCTGCTTATTATGCTAATAGAACATTAGCTTCCTGGGCAACATCTCTATCACAACTCGTTAAAGAAGTTACAGGGGTAACTGGAAAAGAATCAGGACAATTTTCATGATGATCTAAGCAGAAGGTCACAGATGTGCCAGCACTCTGAAGGCTAGAATAAGGATGGAAAATCCCACAGAAGGTGATTCCAGTAAGAGAATAGATGTGGGACTAATCGACCTCGTTGTGAAAAGACACGTCTCCAGCCTTGCTGTCCTGGAAACCTTCTAGGGGGACAGGGAGGCTCCTGACAGAGTCTCTGGGCAGGAAGTGAGAGCCATGACCCTTCCTTCTTCACATGTCACCATGCAGAAATTCTTCTCTGGACTTTCTACAAACCACCACTCTCTCTTCATTGTGCTGAACAAACACCCAGAGCTCATCTCGTTCCTGGTCCAACTTCTGTCCCCATTATTTACTTCTACCTCCCAGTAATGTCTGTCTCCCCTGTGGTAAAGTAATGTCTCCCCTGTGGTAAACCCAGAACACTGAAGATGGTTTTGGATTCCCCTTGTCCTTGGTGTGTGGGGGCATCCCAGTTCGGGGAACATTCTCCGTTGAAGAAGTGTATCTTCTACCCTCAGATCGGATGAGGTTGGGATGAGCTGCATCTGGATCCAGAGAAACAGCCACTGCATGTATAGTTGGAAAAAAAAAAAAAAAAAGGAGGAAAGCTGCAAATACTGGGAAGGCAGAATGGAGAAAAACAAGAGGGAGAAAACTGGAAGGTTAGGTAAAACTGTGGTCCGTCCTAGGAGATACACGATGTGTAAGTCCTAGAAGGCTAGGGTTGGGCAAGATCTTCAGTAACCATCTATTCCAGCCAGGCTAGGACTGTCTAGCCAGGATGGCTGTCACACCTGAAAGTGTTCCAGGGTAAGGTTTTCAGGATGGGGTCCTGCCTATTCTTCAAACGCCTGTTACGTTATTGCTTGTTCTTAAAATTAAGTCCTATAGTATTTCCAGTCATGGTGTGTCCACTTTCATTTAAGCCTCTTCATTTTCATTTTCTGTGGGTTTATGTAATAACTGGGCCATCCACTTCTCATACACCTTTATTTCTAGTGATTGAAATCCCAGGCCTTGTAGTCAAAAAGATCTGAATCTTGATAATTGCTCTTTCTTTAGTAGCTCTGATCTTGGTGACGTTACCTTGCTTCTTTCAGGCACACCTAACTCTCATAATAATGCAAATAATTATGGCATTCAGCACAGGACTATTGTGAGAAATAAATGAGATAGCGTATAGGGAACTTAATACTATGACTTCTCTGTGATGAACACTTGGTTCATTTTAGCTTCCAATATTTATAGTAACACTAATAGCAGAGGTGATAGTAGCAATAGTACTAATACTGGTAGTAACTAATCTTCTTTTCAAACCAAACATCCTCAGTAATTAAAATTTTTCTCATAAGAATTTGTATTTGTAAATTAGACCTCTCCCTCTCCTCTCCCTCTCCCTCTCCCCCTCCCCCTCCCCCTCCCCCTCCCCCTCCCCCTCTCCCTCTCCTCCCTCTCCCTCTCCCCTTTCCACAGTCTCCCTCTGGACTGTGCTGCTGCCATCTCGGCTCACTGCAACCTCCCTGCCTGATTCTCCTGCCTCAGCCTGCCCAGTGCCTGCCATTGCAGGCGCGCGCCGCCACGCCTGACGGGTTTTCGTATTTTTTTGGTGGAGACGGAGTTTCGCTGTGTTGGCCGGGCTGGTCTCCAGCTCCTAACCGCGAGTGATCCGCCAGCCTCGGCCTCCCGAGGTGCCGGGATTGCAGACGGAGTCTCGTTAACTCAGTGCTCAATGGTGCCCAGGCTGGAGTGCAGTGGCGTGATCTCGGCTGGCTACAACCTCCACCTCCCAGCCGCCTGCCTTGGCCCCCCAAAGTGCCGAGATTGCAGCCTCTGCCCGGCCGCTACCCCGTCTGGGAAGTGAGGTGCGTCTCTGCCTGGCCGCCCATCGTCTGGGATGTGAGGAGCCCCTCTGCCTGGCTGCCCAGTCTGGAAAATGAGGAGCGTCTCTGCCCGGCCGCCATCCCACCTAGGAAGTGAGGAGCGCCTCTTCCCGGCCACCATCCCATCTAGGAAGTGAGGAGCGTCTCTGCCCGGCCGCCCATCGTCTGAGATGTGGGGAGCGCCTCTGCCCCGCCGCCCCGTCTGGGAGGTGAGGAGCGTCTCTGCCCGGCCGCCCCATCTGAGAAGTGAGGAACCCCTCCGCCTGGCTGCCACCCCGTCTGGGAAGTGAGGAGCGTCTCCGCCCGGCAGCCACCCCATCCGGAAGGGAGGTGGGGGGGTCAGCCCCCTCCCGGCCAGCCACCCCGTCCGGGAGGTGAGGGGCGCCTCTGCCCGGCCGCCCCTACTGGGAAGTGAGGAGCCCCTCTGCCCGGCCAGCCGCCCCGTCCGGGAGGGAGGTGGGGGGGTCAGCCCCCCGCCCGGCCAGCCGCCCCGTCCGGGAGGGAGGTGGGGGAGTCAGCCCCCCGCCTGGCCAGCCGCTCAGTCCGGGAGGGAGGTGGGGGGGTCAGCCCCCCGCCAGGCGAGACGCCCCGTCCGGGAGGGAGGTGGGGGGTCAGCCCCCCGCCCGGCCAGCCGCCCCGTCCAGGAGGGAGGTGGGGGGGTCAGCCCCCCGCCCGGCCAGCCACCCGGTCCGGGAGCTGAGGGGCGCCTCTGCCTGGCCGCCCCTACTGGGAAGTGAGGAGCCCCTCTGCCCGGCCAGCCGCCCCGTCCGGGAGGGAGGTGGGGGGGTCAGTCCCCCGCCCGGCCAGCTGCCCCGTCCGGGAGGGAGGTGGGGGGTCAGCCCCCCTCCCGGCCAGCCGCGCCATCCGGGAGGTGAGGGGCGCCTCTGCCCGGTCGCCCCTACTGGGAAGTGAGGAGCCCCTCTGCCCGGCCACCACCCCGTCTGGGAGGTGTACCCAACAGCTCATTGAGAACGGGCCATGATGACAATGGCGGTTTTGTGGAATAGAAAGAGGGGAAAGGTGGGGAAAAGATTGAGAAATCGGATGGTTGCCGCGTCTGTGTAGAAAGAAGTAGACATGGGAGACTTTTCATTTTGTTCTGTACTAAGAAAAATTCTGCCTTGGGATCCTGTTGATCTGTGACCTTACCCCCAACCCTGTGCTCTCTGAGACATGTGCTGTGTCCACTCAGGGTTGAATGGATTAAGGGCGGTGCAAGATGTGCTTTGTTAAACAGATGCTTGAAGGCAGCATGCTCGTTAAGAGTCATCACCACTCCCTAATCTCAAGTACCCAGGGACACAAACACTGCGGAAGGCCGCAGGGTCCTCTGCCTAGGAAAACCAGAGACCTTTGTTCACTTGTTTATCTGCTGACCTTCCCTCCACTATTGTCCTGTGACCCTGCCAAATCCCCCTCTGCGAGAAACACCCAAGAATGATCAATTAAAAAAAAAAAGAAAAAGAAACTGCCTCTGTTAGGATCAAAGGTTGAGAAAGTAAGGAGAATACAGAGCTTCCTTCCATAACGGTAGGAAGGCACCAAATTTGAACAGAGTAAGGCTCCTAGTGCCACTGCCTAAAAGGATTGAGATGAGTAGCATAGGTAAGTTCTGCTCCAGGCTTCAGATCACAATTCTAGTAACATAGCACAGTGAGAACATTTTTATTTTTTCTGGACAAGTTTTGCCTCCCCATCGACAGGTTACATAAAGGAAACCCAATTTTTCATTCATCAGCAAAGACTTCCAGGAAAAGGGAGGAAAATTTCCTGTTCTCTCTTAAATGTTGTCAAAAGATTTAAAGCTCTTCATCCTTTTGATTCTCTTTACTTCAGATTCATGAGATAGAGCACACTATGCACAGGGCCAAGGCATCTGAACTAAGAGATGACAAGAAAGAGGGGTACGGCAGAAATAAGCAATAGCCCTGCCAGTACACAGTGTCTTAAGCTCCTACTTCTTGATTTTTTTCTTTTCCATTATTGACATCTGATTGATGTTAGGTAAACAGGTAGAACAAGGGGAATTGGCATGTGTGAGGGCAAAAATCTCACATGGAAATCACTAGATCTCTATAATGGGACAAGTGTCTATGAATTAGCAATGAAACCATAAGTTAGGATAATGTCTTGATGAGAAATGTTCTAGAAATAGCAACCAGATTCCGGTATCAGAAGGGATGGGGATTCATGGTGAGGGTCCAGGCAGGCATTTCTGTGTTTCAAATATTTAATACAATTGAACTGAGAGAAAGTCATGTATCAAGGGCAAAGCTGCTGCATTCAAAGAAGAACTACTAGGATTCAGCTTAGGCTTGCATTTTGGGAACCACTGTAGTAAGTGAGTAATCATAATCCAGAGAGAAGCCACACTTATGACAGATTCTTAGTGAATTAATTATTTATTACTGGTAACAAATTACCTGGAAACTTAGTGGCTTAAAACAACAATTGCATATTATCTTACAGGTCAGGAATTTTGGAGCAGCTTAGCTGGGTAGCTCTGGCTCAGTCTCTCATAGGTTGCAGTGAAGCCATTGGCTGGGGCTGCAGCCATCTGAATCCTTGACTGGGGTTGGGGGTCTCTTTACAAGAAGGCTCATTACATGGCTGTTGACTGAAGGCTTCAGTTCCTCACCAATAGGCCTCTCCACCGAGCCACCTGAGTGTCTTTAAGATTTGGCAGCTGACTTCCCCCAGAACAGATGATGAGAGAGAGAGAAGAGGGGAGGGAAGTGGGGGAGAAGAAGGAAGACTTTAATGTTTTCATGACCTAATATAGGAAGTAACATACCATAATTTCTGCTGTTGTCAACTGGTCATACAGACCACTCCTGCTATAGTGTGAGGGACTATGCAAGAGTGTGATTGTCAGTAGAGAGAATGGTGCAGGGTTTTGATACATGGTCTTTAATTTGGTTGAATCGATCATTCACAGAGGACAGTGTTTTTTGTTTGTTTAATCCTGCCTACCTACCCCCTCACCTTTATTCTGTTTCTAGATAGAGGGAGGCTGGTGTGGTGACTCAAGCCTGTAATCCCAACAGCCGAGCACTTTCGAAGGCCAAGATGGGAGGGTAGCTTAAGGACAGGAATTTGAGACCAGCCTGGGCAACATAGTGAGGCCCCATTTCTACACACATCAAAAAATTAGCTGAGTTTGGTGGCACATGCCTGTAGTCCCAGCTACTCAGGAGGCTGAAGCAGGAGGACAAGGATTGCTTGAGCCTGGGAGATAGAGGCTGCAGTTAGCCATGTCTGTACCACTGCACTCCAGCCTGGGTGACAGAGAGAGACCCTGTCTCTCTCTCTAAAAAAACAAAGAGAGAGATACATGGATTGGCATTCTTTTCTGGAGAGATAGCAATTATGTCCTCCTGACACAGGATTTCTTTTCTTCCCTTTGGATAAAGGATATTTTGCTAATTCAAAAGATTAGGAAAGACAGGGTTGGCAGTTCCACTTACTATATTTATTATTACAGGCTTACTTGACTATAGGCCTAACTAATTTTAAGGACACTGGGTTTATAGAAGAGAATGATGTGAAAGAGGACGTTAGGACAACCTCTGATTCCTAGAGGGGAGGGTATAGCTTTCTCTTCCATATTTGCGAAGCAGGATTTTCCAAAGACATGAGATTGAAAAAAATTGTGGATGTGAGAAGACATAAATTTCATTAGGATGATGAAAAATATTTTTTTTCTCTCACCTCAAATCTATATCATCAGTGTTATAAAGTAAGCTAGGGTCTGTCTCCCTTTCAACCCAGTAGTCTTAAAAGGCTCAAGAAGATTAGGCTTGAATTTCTACTCTCAAACTCAAAATTTTGTAATCTCTCTTTTTTAAATGATTGAAGTATAATTTACAGACATGTATTTTTACAAGCACAGATTATAAGTATTAACAATTGAATACACCCAAGTAATTCATACCTTAATCCAAACAAAGAACATTAATTTTTCACAGGCAACCAGTAGTCTGATTCCCATCATCAAAGTTTAGTTTTGCCTTTTCATTAACTTCATATGGTAATAATACACTATTTGCTCTGTTGTATCTAATTTTTTTCATTCAATATAATGTTGAGATCATGTATATTGCTGTGTATGTTCTTTTAATATTTTAAGTTGAATTTCATTTTATGAATATGCTTCAGTTTTTTCCACTCATTTTTCTGCTGATGGATACCTGGATGTTTCTAGGTTTGGGCTATTATTAATAAAATTGCTATGAACATTCTCTTTCAAGTCTATTGTGGACACATATTTCATTTCTTTTATACTTTTCATTCCATATACAATGTCTGGGTCAAAGAGTAGGTATGTGTTTAATTTTATAAAATACTACAAATCAGTTTTCCAAAGTGGCTGCACTATTTTACATTCAAATAAGCAATGTATGAGAGTTTCAGTGACTCCACATAACCAATAATTGATATTTTCAGCCTTTTAAATTATATCCAGGTCAGTGAGTGTAAAGTAATAACTCATTTTGGTTTGCATTTTCCTGATGATTATGTTGAATTCTTTAGTCATCTATCTTCATTTATGAAATATTCATTCAAATCTTTGTTCTATTTTGTTGCATTATTTAATATTTTTATGAAGTTGAAGAAATTCTTCAAATAGTCTAGATACAACACTTTTGTTAGGTCTCTTCCTTTATGTAGGTATTTTTAAATTTTTATCTGAAGGGTTTTGCAGTTTTCAGTGTAGGTATCTTGCATATACTTTGTTAACTATATTCTTAAGAATTTTATACTATTTGATTCTATTGTAAGTGATATATTCATTTTCCAAATGTTAATTACTAATGTATGGAAATAAAATTTATTTTCATTATTAATTTTGTACACTGAGACCTTGCTAAAATCCCTGATTAATTATTCTAGAAGTTTGGTGGTTTTATAGATTCCATTCGATTATCTAAGTACTTAAGCACATTATGTGTGAATGACAATACTGTGTTCTTTCTTTCCAATCTTTATTACTTTTAATTAATTAATTATTTTGCTTTATTCTTCTGGCCAGGTCCTCCTCACTACTGGAAGTACTAATAGAGGACATTCTTTTCTTGTTCTCGATTTTAGGGGTAAAGTGAGCAATACAACACTACTGTTATTGATGTTAGCTTTTGATTCTTCCCTGGCACTATTTAGTAGACTCAGAAAATTTTCTTCTATTCTTACATTGCTAGAGGATATTGTTGCTGCTGTTGTTTTATTTTTAAAATCATGAGTGGATATTAACTTTTATTTTAAAATGTTTGTGCCATCTAAGATTATATAGTTTTTATTTTCTTGTTTTTAATTTTGTTTTTGCTTTATATTAGGTATATAATTTCATAATTGTATTAATGTATTACAAAATTTATATTTTTAAGATTAAACTACACTTAATTATATGTATTTTTTACTAGATTTATCTTACTGTTTTAATTAGAATCTTTGCATCTGTGCAAACAATTCTGTAGGTTTTCTTTTCACTCTCTTGATAAGTGTATTTTGATGCACAAAAGTTTTTAATTTTTACGAAGCCCAATTTATGTAATTTTTCTTTTGTGGTCTGTGCTTTTGGTGTCATTTTAAAGAAGCCATTACCTAATCCAAAGTCATGAAGATTTTTCCCTTGTTCTCTTTTAAGAGTTTTACAGTTTTATCACTTAAATTTAGGTCTTTGGTTCAATTTGATTGAATTTGCACATGGCTTAAAGTAAGAATCCAACTTCATTCTTCCTGCATGTGGGTGTCTAATTTTCCCAACACCATTTGTCAAAGACCACCGTTTCCCCATTGAATGGTCTTGGCACCCGTGGTAAATGAATTGAGAGTTCACTTCTGGCCTCTCAATGCTTCTCCATTTGTCTCTGTATTTTTCTTTATACCAGTGCTGCATGTGCTCTTGATTACTGTAACTTTGTATTAAGTTTTGAAACTGGGGAGTGAGAGTCCTGCAAATTTGTTTCTTGTTTTTCAAGATTGTTTTGGTTACTTGAGGTCCTTTTATGTTCCACATGAATTTTAAGAGAGATTTTTCTATTTCTATCCAAAAAATAATGCCATTAAGATTTTGGTAAGGAATTACATTGAATCTCCCTATCACATTGGATAATATTGTCACCTTAGTAATATTAAGTTTTCCAATCCATGGCTGTAGGAAGTCTTTTAAATAAAGAGGTATATCTATATTTACATAGGTTTGTTTTCAATATTTATATAATTTTATATGCTTTACTGGTATATAAATAAATTTGATTTATATTTAATATTTTCTTTTATAATAGAAAATAATATATATATTTATGAGGCATAATATCAAGTTTTGACAGATATATGTACCTCAAAACTATTTATATATATTTCATACACAGCATATATATTATGTACAACATAATGTATATTATATATTACATATATTTATAGACTATAAATATATATACTAATATGTAACTATATATAAATAATATATAACTACATATTCATAGATATATATAACTATATACAAATATATAAAAGTATAAAAATAAATCTATATATTATATATAGTGGAATTATTAAATTAAGCTATATAGTGAATGATTGAATTAAACTGATTAACATAATCATCACTTCACATGCTTATCAATTTTTTTTGGTTAACAGACTGAAATTTCCTCTTTGTAATTTGTAAAATATACATTATTATTAGCAATATATTTCAAAAACATATTGCTCTTGTGTAACTGAAACCTTGTACTCTTTGACCAACATCTTCTCATCTTCCCCATATTCGCCCCACTTCCCCAGCCTGTAATCACCATTCTGCTCTCCACTCCTATGAGTCTGACTTTTTAGATTCCATGTATAAGTGAGATCACAGTATTTGTCTTTCTGTGCCTGGCTATTTTACTTAGAATAAAAAGAATCAGATTGCACCTAGCTCAGTTAACCCCTTGACTCCAGGTATAGAAATAATAAAAACACAAAATCAAACAAATTTTATGTGTGTGTCTATCATCTATCTATCTATCTATCTATCTATCAAATGTCTATTTAAATACCATCTTTGACATTGCCATGGAGGATTATTATCCATATCATGATAATTTAGTAGATTGGCCCAGGGAATAGATAAACATTGGTGTTACCATACAATTTATAAATGTAGTTTTTAAAGAAAATGTCAAAGTATGTGGTTTAATTTGTAAAGTATATATTCTCATTTCGAATCTCTAAATGTAATATGTTTGTTTTCTCAACAGTATTACCCTGTTTCCAAATATTGCTTAAGGAGCCAATATGTCACAAAAGTTTTGCAGCAAGCAAATAAAATAAAATAAAATATGTATTTATTTTTACTCTAAAAACTATACATGCCTCTTTATTTATAGAGAGCTATAGCTATATCTGGATATCTATAAGACAAAGTTTTTTTACATTTAATCCACATATTTTGAACTTTTTAAAAAGATGTATTCCTAGGTAGTGTGTAATTTTGATGATAATGTGAATTGTATTTTCTTTTCAAATTGTATGTTCTCTTCATTTCTGTCTTATAAAAATGTGTTGGTTCTTGGATATTATTCTTGTATTTAATAACCTTGGTAAACTTATTAATTCCAAAAATTTAGCTGTAGTATTTCTTGCAATTTCTAAATACACAATAATGCCAACTGCATATGACAGTTTTATTTGCTCTAGTCCAATATTTGTTGAAAGTCCCCACCTCTGATATATATCCTTTTGTCAGAGTTTGTCATTGAAATACTAAGATACCCTATATTTCTGTTATTCTAGAAGTTAAGAAACAAAATCAGAGCTAAAACTTGCCAACTGGTTGGACCCAGTAACCCAGAGAGGGGACAGACTTTTCTTGTTAGATCCCATCTAAGCCACGTAGGCTTGAGACACAGATTCTGGAACCTGAGGGAAAGAAAAATGTGTTTGCAGATATAAAATATGGATTTAAAAAAATCATCAGGGAAAGAAAATGTCTATGGCAAAGGGCCTAAGATTAGAATCTACTACGCTCAGCGAAGTTGCACTCTCATCTAAGAAGTTCTTATCTAAATAACTGCCCTTTAGAAGCCCTCTGTTAATCAATAAACAGCTGTATAATTAGACATTACTTTCTTTTCTGACAACTACTCCCACTTAACTCTATTTCTGTTCACTTTTCTTCCCTTCCTTAGTTTTCAGACATTGTCTCAGGTGTATCCTTAGACCCTTTAACCCTGGTCTGCATGAAATTCCATACTTATATTTATGTTCTCCTTAATGCCTAGGTATTGGCAATCTTTGGCAGTCATTCCCTTATCCCCAGTGGGGAAAATACTGCTACAAATTTAAATGCATTTCACCACTTTAGTAGTTCACAAACTAGACAAAGGTACTGTCAATGATTGCCTGGATAACTCTTAACAGTAGTCTCCTTGCTTCTTCTTTTCCTCCCACTACTGTCTTTTCTTAACACAGCAGCAAAATTGTTTTATGTCTTTATGCAGACATAGGTAAAAACGTGTCATTTGCCTACATAATGACCCATCTTATCTCTTTATTTCATTCAAGTTAAAATCAAAGTCCTGTCAGTAGCTCACTAGATGTTACAATTTTTTTTGAGGCGGGGTCTTGCTCTGTTGCCCAGGCTGGAGTACAGTGGAACAATCATAGCTCACTGCAGCCTCAACCTCCTGGGATCAAAGGGTCTTCCCCTGCCTCAGTCTTCTGAGTAACTGGACTACAGGTGCATGCCACCATGCCTGGCTAATTTTTTTATTATTTTGTAGAGACGGGGTCTTGCCATCTTTCCCCAGCTGGTCTTGAATTCCTAGGTTCAAGGGGTCTTCCCACCTTGGCCTCCCAAAGTGCTGGGATTACAGGCATGAGCCACCATGCCTGGCTGATCCATTATCTTTCTAACTTATTTTCCTACTGTTGTTTTCCTGGATCAGTTCATACCAGTGACACTGGCCACTTCATATTCCTTGAAAACACCAGACACATTCCTATCTTACGGTCTTTGCTGTAGTTGTCTTCTCTGCCTGGAAAACTCTTCACTCAGAAATCCACTTAGATGTCTACCCTACTTCCCCCAAGTATTGCCTTCTCACAGAGGTATATCCAGGATAATCTATTTAAATCGAAATCCCACTGCAGCTGCCAGTAGTTCTCTTTCACTGACTTGCTTTTTCACTTTTCACAGCAGTTACCACCTTCTAAGATACTGAAATGGGAAAGGTCTTCTTGTCCCCCTCACAGGGCTTGCAACAGCGGGAGTGGCTCACTTCTTCAGTGCCCTGCTGCTCAAACCTCTAGGGAGAGCATACAGACGGACAGGATGTGGGGCTCTGGCCTCACGGCAGCATCTAGGGGTGTATGTTTACAGTTCCTGAAGCCCCAGTGGGCATGTGTTACTGTGTGCTCTTTTAGTTTTGCCATGTATAGGCAGCTAGTGTTAACTAGCTCAATTAGACCCTCTGCCTTATTGCAAGGACAGAGGGCTTTCTGTATCCCAGGTTCTTACCTTGGTGTACCAGAAAAATCAGATCACATGTGGGCTTGAAGAATGAGAGCAAGGTCTTATTGAGTGGAAGTGGCTCTCAGCAGATGGGGGAGCCAGAAGGGAGATGGAGTGGGAAGGTGGTTTTCCCCTGGAGTCAGGCTGCTCAGCAGCTGGGTTCCCCTCCAACTGCCCTGGCCAAACTCCATTTTGTTCCGCTGGTCAATGGCCTGCCAGCATGCCAGCATCTGCTGGTTCCTGTTGGCATGATCTTTAACCGATGTGTCCCTCTTGACATCCAGCCACTTGTGTGTTCTTCCACTGATGTGTTCCTTTTGACGTCCAGCCGCTTCTGTCCCTGCCTGCTAGGGTCTCAGGATTTTTACAGGCACAGGATGGGGGCATGGCAGGCCAGGGTGGTCTTGGGAAATGCAACATTTGGGCATGAAGGCAGGAGTGTCTGTCCTTACCTAGGTCTGTGGGCACAGGCCCAGGGGTGGAGCCTTAGCCAGGGACCATGCCCTTCCCTTACCAGCACTTCCCTGCCCCTCTTCTATATCACCTCCCCTGTCTGAAGAGGTACATCTAACTGCTGTTCGAATATGGATGATGACGGGTCTTAGCTGCTTCCTGCTGATAGGGGCATCGTTTTGGGGAAAACGGCAGTCAGATTCTTCCCAGAGGTCTATATAAGGGTTCCTAGCAAAGGGGAGCCATCATCCAAGGCTCCGGTTCCCTGACCATTTGGAGGTTGATGGCTTCCAGGTGTGAGAGAAAAAACAAGTTTTATAAGGTTAAGTATGCATGGATTATATATACTTGGGTATGTATACCCAAGTTATACACACTGTAACTACATACATACATACTATACATACTATAATAAATACGTGTATTATACAAGGAAAAAAAATTAGTGCCAAAGATTACAGAGATAAGAAGTGAAATATACTAACAACAACATTGTACCCTGAGATGTTTCACCCTGGTGAAAGAAATTAAACCTTGTATGGGAGTGGATAAACTTTTAGAATGAGATAACTGTTCTGGCCATATCTTTAGTAGTTAACAGGTGTACCCTGGGAATTCTGGGGTTTGTGGGCTTGCCTGGTGGCCATTAAAGCTTCTGTGTCTTTCCTGTATTTCCTCTCTCTTTCCTGGGCCTCCCTGTCTGTATTATAAAAGACCAAGGTGGCCACTTTCAGAAGGTCCTCTAATGTACTATCCGGTCCCAGGGCCCGTTTCTGCAACTTCCTCCTGAGGTCAGGAGCTGCCTGAGTAATAAATTTATCCTTTAGGGTTAGCTGTCCCTCTACTGAATCAGGAGATAGACAGGTATGCTTTACCAAGGCCTCTCTTAGTCTCTCCAGGAAGGCAGCAGGATTTTCATCAAATACCTCGTCGATCATGGACAACTTAGTATAATTGAGAGGCTTGGTCTTAGTCCTACAAAAGCCTTCCATTATGCACATCTGAAAGCGTCTCCTCTTCCAGTCTTCCACCTGTCATTGGGATCCCACTTAGGGTCATTCACTTTTACTGCTTCTCTTCCAGTTGGATAATGTTTGCTCCCTTCCCTGATGCCATATGTGATACAAAGCTCATTCCCAAATCTCTTTACTGCTTGCAGAGCGGCCTGCTTCTCAGTGTCCATCAGGGTCTGATTCAAAAGTAGCATAACATCTCTCCAGGAGAGTTTAAATATATGGGTGAAAGTCTGGAAAACCTCTATATATCTATAAGGGTCATCTGAAAGCTTGCCAAGATCCCCCTTGGTTTGCTTTAAATCCTGTAGGAAGAAGGTGACCTGGACCTTACTGGGCGCAAATTCACTGGGCATTTGTTGGAGGGGCAAAAGTGAGACTGGTTGAATGTTGAAGGTGTACCTCAACACACACACACACACACACACACACACACACACACACACACAGAGTTCCTTGGCACAGACTAGCATAGTGTTTGCTTTGGTTCTAGGCATTGTCTCTGTTCAATCATTAGCTAATGACTAAGCTAACCGGGCAGAAACATCAAACGTTACATTCAGGAAAGAATGGAGACTTTATAAAATTAGATCAGAAAAATCTTTAAACAAACAAACAAACAAGTAGTAATACAACAAATGCAACAACAGCAAACTCTGTAGAGGGAGGAAATCTGGTTTCTAAATTGCAACATTATAATATTCAAAATGTCTAGATTTCAGCAAAAAATAATGAAGCATGTAAAGAGAAAAGAAATCATGACCCATGCACAGAAAATAATAAAAAGAAACTGTTTCTGAAGAAGCCCAGACATTGTAATTAGCAGAATAAGACATGTCTAAAAAATAAAGTATAAGAATGATGTCTCAGCAATTTGAGAATATCAGAAGGAGAAATTATAGAAATAAATAGCAATTCTGCAGGTTAAAAATACTGACTTGCAAGGTTTCCGTTGAGAAGTCTGGTAATGGACTTATGGGAGATCTCTTACACATGATGTTTCTTTCAGAATTCTCTCTTTGTGTTTGACCTTTGACAATTTGATTATAATATATCTTGGAGTATGTCTTTTTTGAATTGAACTTGCTTGGGATGCTTTGATCGTCTTCAATCCGGATGTTCATATCCCTCTCAAGATTTGGAAAATTTTCAGATAATATTCCATTGATTAAGCTTACTGCCCCTTCCTCTTTTTCTTCTTTTGGTACTTCCATAATTCATATATTTGTATGTTTGATGGTGTTCCATAAGTATGCATAAAACACTTATGGAAAAATAATCTCAACAATTTTGAGATTATTTTTGGCAGGTGGAGCATCCTAAAACTAGAAGTCATCACCTTCCTCTTCAAGTGACTGACTTCTTAACTTAGAAATCACCACCACAGGATGCATAGAAGACTGAAACAAAATGTGGCTTTGTGAATACAGTGTGGGCTTTGGAGTCAGAAACTCTGCCATTTGTTGGCTGGGTAACTTCTAGTGTCTCTCTCCATCTCAAAGAATTTCATCGTACAGTTTATTAGGGATTAAACAAGTTTGTGCTTATAAGGTACCCACTATAGAACTTTGTAGTCAATAGACACTCAATAAAAGGTGTTATTACTCTTCCTTGTTCTCCACAGTGGCTTATGAGATCCCATTTACTGGCTCACTCTTCCTAGCACCATAGACCTCTGGACTGGATTTCTTCTTGCTATCTAACTCCAACAACTTGACTTCCTTTGTTCACCTTCATTTGTTTCAAGGCTCTTCTTTTTTTAACTTTTAGTTTTAAGGGTACATGTATGTAATTGTTTGTTATATGGGTAAACTGTGTGTTGTGGGGGTTTGGTGTACAGATTCTTTAGTCACCTGGGTAATAAGCATAAAACCCAAGAGATATGCTGTCTCCCTCCTCCTAGCCTCCACCCTTAAGTAGGCCCCAGTGTCTGTTGTTCCCCTCTTAGTGTCCATGTGTTCTTGTTGTTTAGCTCCCACTTATAAGTGAGAACATATGGTATTTGGTTTTCTGTTCCTGCTTTAGTTTGCTTAGAATAGTGGTCTCCACCTCCATCCATGTTGCTGCAAAGGACATCATCTCATTATTTTTTATGGTTGTGTAGTATTCCACGGTGTATATTTACCACATTTTCTTTATCCAGTCTGCCTCTTTTTAAATATAGTCATTTTTCTCATTTTTAATTATCAAACATTTATAAAATGCTTATTCTGTGGAAGGTTCTCTGCCTCAAGAGTTACAAACATTAGGCTGGGCACGGTGGCTCACGCCTGTAATCCCAGCACTCTGGGAGGCCAAGGCGGGTGGATCACCTGAGGTAGGGAGTTTGACACCAGCCTGACCGACATGGAGAAACCCCATCTCTACTAAAAATACAAAATTAGCTGGGTGTGGTGGCGCATGCCTGTAATCCCAGCTACTTGGGAGGCTGAGGCAGGAGAATTGCTTAAACCCAGGAAGTGGAGGTTGCAGTGAGCCGAAATGGTGCCACTGCTCTCCAGCCTGGGCAACAAGAGTGAAACTCTATCTTCAAAAAAAATTAAAAAAAAGAGTTACAAAGATTAATGATGTACAATCTCTGGCCTTAAAAATCTCTGAAAAACTAGAAATAATTCTAAAGCCCAGAAAGAGTGAGTTCCCTTCCAGTATCCTATACAAGTTCAAGGTCCTCCAAAGCATTATTAAATCTTCCTAGCCTTTTGATCCTCTGCCTTTTCTCCTGCCTCACTAATGTTCTAAGTCTCTGTTATGACACAGATTCTAGAACCTTCACAGGCCACACTCCCATCATTTGCTTAGGTCTGATCAATCTGCTCCACACAATTTCTCAGTGATCCTCTGCATCTCTGCCTACAAGGGCCTCCCTGACACCCAAGTTCATATTGCTCAGAAACAGTGAACTTGAGTTTTTCGTTTTACCTTGATCTCTCTCTGACAAAGAAATCCAGATGATGCGAGACCTGATGAAGACAATACATGGAAAATGACAGTCTTGGGTATGGACTAACTCCCTCTTTGAGGCTTCCTCAACTCTAGTAGTTCAGGAGTCTCCTCTTAGGGACTTAGGGACTTTAACACAACTGCTTTATCTTCCTTGCCTGCTTCCTTTTCAAATTCAGTATTTTTTCTTTCACTCTTATTGATTCCTCTGGAAGCCTGGGGGAAACAACCCACAGTTAACTAAGCTCTAGGCTGATAGTGCTGGTTTCTCCTTTGGTTTCTAGAGTTTAAACTGAACAAAGAAAATAACCATCCTCCGTAGCACTAGGAAAAATTCCTTAGCCCATTATCTCACTTCCTGTAGCATGGTCACTCTATATAATCTGCCTCAACTCAGAAATAATGATTTCCTCTCATTTTCCCTATTAATAGGGTGGACCATCTTCTAACCGCCCTATAGACAGGGCATTTCAGACACTAAAGGAAGAAAAGGAATATACAGTAGTACTGAGTACACCATCTAGTTATCCTTTCCTCCCCGATGAGTTATTTAACACTAGAAAAAAAAATTCACATAATAGAGGGCATATTGACTACTTGCTGTTCATTTTAGAGGTACATTAGAAGAAAATCTCCAAAAGTTGATTTGGCAGGAGAATTTTCTCACAGGACCAAACACCTAGAAGACTCAGTAGACAAATGCCTAATCTGCCCTGGTTGGAGGTGTGTTATTATATCTTGAGATGGATTCACCTATTGTTCGTTTGAAGTAGTCTTAATGTGGGTGTAATCTACTTTCCTAGTCTTTCAGAGCTCAATATTCTTCAGAGTTTTTACTTTCACAGGCAGTTTTATGGTTGTTTTTTTCTTCTTTCCTTTCTCTCTCTCTCTCTGTTTTCTTTTTTTTTCTCCCCCGATCCTTCATAGCCACTGCCCTTTATAACCATATGATATTGTCTAAGATTTTTCTCTCCTATGACTGCAAGACTCTATCTTACATCAATTGAATGCAGATCAATGACACATAAACAAACACAAGTTAAGCAATCCCAGCATATTTTATCCTACTAACCACAATAACAAACCTCGCAAATATCCATCTTATCATCAGGAGGTTGGCAAGTGATGACTGAAAGGTTTTTGTGTGACAAGAAATTTCTGTCCTTTGCTGTGGCTTTCATTAATAAAACCACCTTCAGTCAACACCCTTCAGTCAAGGTGCTGAAAGTTTTTTGATCACTCACTCATAAAAATGTTTTGAGTATGCATTGCCTATAAAAGTATATTTATAAATCTTATTTATAGCCATATATATATATATATACACACACACAGAAAATCTTGCAACTTTAAAGGTATGAGTTAAAATTACACAGAAAATAGAAGTTCTAATATTTTCCCCATACCCCAGTGGATAGCTTCGTAGACCACTGATTCCCTTTAACATTCTTCCTGCCTGGGGAGTAAAGGGTTCAACTGAGGAGGAAATCTGTCAGATTTCCAACTCTAAACCAAGGGTACACAGCATCTGAGGTTCTTAGTATACGACCAAAGAACCAATGTAAGAGCTAAAAATGGGCAGGGGCGGGAATGTGAGGACAGTAATATGCGGCAAATAAAAGAATAAAGGAGTTGAAGTAGCAGAAAGGGGAAAGAAAAAAAAGTCTATCTGGTGGATAGTAAGAGGTGATCAGAAGTTGTTTCTGGTAATTTCCTGGTCTAAATAAGCATGTTTACAGGTGAGTTTTTGTTTTCAGAAATAACTTTGGCTGTCATCCTGACTCTACTGGGACTTGCCATCCTGGCTATTTTGTTAACAAGATGGGCACGACGTAAGCAAAGTGGTGAGTAATAATGAGTCAAAATGAAGATTTCCTGTGAAAACCATGGAGGGAGGGATGCCAAGATTCAGTCTGAGTTCATCTCACTCATCAAACAGCTAGAGACTTTGCCAATATTCTGGGAATCTGTTTCAATACTTGAGTCAAAGAATCTCTGACCTATTAGTGATTGTCCCTGCACTTTTAACTCCCAAGGTTTACATTATCAATAATGTCAAAGAAAAAGTCACAGGCCGGGAGCGGTGGCTCACGCCTGTAATCCCAGCACTTTGGGAGGCCGAGGCGGGCGGATCACAAGGTCAGGAGTTCCAGACCAGCCTGACCAAAATGGTGAAACCCTGTCTCTTCTAAAAATACAAAAATTAGCTGGGCCTGGTGGCAGGTAACTGTAAGCCTAGCCGCTCGGGAGACTGAGGCAGGAGAATTGTTTGAACCCAGGAGATGGAGGTTGCAGTGAGCCGAGATCACGCCATTGCACTCCAGCCTGGGTGACAGTGCAAGACTCCATCTCAAAAAAAAAAAAAAAAATCACAGAGTTTAGCAAAAGTAATAAGAATATTTTAAAAGAAAATTACCTGAGCTCCAAGGGAAATTACCTGAGTTTAAAAAAAAAAAAATAGAAGTGAGAAGACAGTATGTTGCTAAACACCAGTATCTAGTATTATATAAAAAGAATTGGAGACTTTTAGTGACTTAATTTGGGGAGATGATAAGAAGAGACAAATACAGAGTAGTACTTGTCGATGAAATAGAGATGGAGCTCATAAAAGCTAAGACCTATTTCTATGCCATAAGGTCTCTCTTTCCTGGATTTTTCTGTTTCTCTCCCACAACTTTCTAATCAGCTGTATTCCCTCCCTGTTTCCCATCCTCAATGCCTGTGAGCCCTCAAAGCATAAGTAGTGTGAAAAGATAGGTAAAACAGGGCTGATGGGAGATGTGGAAAATGGGTGAGAACAACAATGCATTATATCAGGAGGACCACCTTGGTAAGCAAGAAGCATAGCTTAGAGTGAGAAGAGTTTGATCAGAGGAAGAACACTTCTCCTAAGTAACTAATAAAAACATTTTGCCTAATTCTTCCACAGAAATGCATATCTCCAGATACAGTTCAGAACAAAGTAAGTACTTATACTCATGAGAAAAATAAATATAGTATTATAGAATTTTCACAAGTCAGGAATGAAATCTGTCTTGTTTACAGTTGTGTTTCCAGAACCTTGCATAGTGCACCATTGCATGAACTGAACTGCTTCTAAGTGAGTGGGAGAAATCTACCAGAGATTTCTGAGCAGTACTGAATGCCAAACTGGAGTTGGGGAGAATTAATTAATACTGGGTAGGCCTGCATAATTCTGAGGCTCCCTTCAGATGCTTCCTGTGGTCTGAGAGCAGCAACAGAGAACTGTTCCAGTTCAGGCACTGGAACAGATGGTTCAGTAAAAAGCCTAAATCCATTCATGAAGACGGCCTTAGTGAAGTGGCCGGACCGAAAAATATAATGTATCCTAGAATAACGAGAGTGAACACAGTTAGGGTAATTATGATTGAGAAGAGTACCAACTTCAGGATGTGAAGAATTGAAGAAGACTTTCCATGGAAAGATCTGGAGAGATGCCAAAGTTGTTAAGAAAGATAGCACAGGATTGGTATGAGGCAAAAACCAGGAGACTAGCTGCTGAAGTATCAAGAGGTAAAAGAAACTCTGAAACTCCTTCTGACTATCATTTAGCCTGGCTAATATTATAAAATTGGTGATTGACACAGTCACTTATCATCGTCAGCTCTTGTAGCTTATGCACAATTCCTAGTTCCTGCAAAGTAAATTAATTCACATCATTATTCACCATTAGGAGTTCATGTTTACATTAGTTCTCAGAGTCTTAAATAAAGCCTCATTAATAATCAAGAAGCAAAATCATGTGCTCTCCCTTTTTTTCTAGGTGCTAGACTTCTGGACTATGAGGATGGTAGAGGTAAATAGATTAGGAACTACTAGACAGTTAATGAAGGAATATACTCTTTAGAGTGTGAATCAACTCATCTCCATTTGAGCATGATTTGTTGAGTCAGCATATCTTTCGTTTTTATAATATTCAAATGCTTATCACTCCTCTCTCTCTTTCTCAAGAAAAATTGTGCATTTTTCTCAGAAAAGGTAAATAATTCTCCTTCTTAAGACCATCAAAAGAATTCATTTCCATCTTCTGTCTACTTCCAAGATATTAGAAAGGTTAAGGAACCGCTCCGAAACAATTTCCTGGATGTTTAAAATGTGGATAAAATGAATATGAAATGGAATAGTATATGTGAAAATACACTTTGAAAGCCATACAGTAGAAGAGGTAAACAAAGCTTATCCCCATTTAAGAAGATGAAATTTATGCTCAAAAGATTGAGACTTACTCAAGTTCACCTAGCTGAGGAGGGAGCTGGATATCAAATTCAGGTTTTGAAACGTGAGAGTTATGAGAAGACGGCAATGCGCTGTCTACTTTTTTGAAGGGACACACCAGTACCACTAATTTCAATGTACCATGGCTATCCCTAACCCTCACGCCCCAACACTCAATGTTCTCTTTCAGTATCCACTCACCAGGGCTGCCTATAGATGTTCCCTCGGCTGTCTCTCTCTCTCTTTCTCTCTCTCTCTCTCTCTCTCTTTCCTTCCCTCTTTCTCTCTTTCTGACTAGTCCTATCTCCAGAACTCAACAAGAACCACTAGAGCTACCTCTCATTCTTGCTGGAAGCCACTAAAGTTGTCCACACCAGGCCCACCAGCTACACCAGAACTATAAGGTTATGAGATTGTGGATGTGGAAATAATTACACACACACACACACACACACACACGCTACAAGCATATAGATCCCTGAGAGTTGAGGAAAGAAAAGAGAAAGTAACTCAGTCACTTCGCTTGCTGTCCATGCCCCACACTTGGACTCTTGGTCCATCCTTCTCCTTCTTACCTCTATGATTCATCTATCATGAACAACAAGAGTGAAGAGCACAGTGCCATGGCATTCCCTCTTTATTTTCTGAAATGGAACCTAAAGAAAATGGGAATATCTGGGAAACTAGCAAATCTTTTAGTAGTTGGATTGAGACTAATGATAAACTTTTTTTTTTTTTTTTTTTTTTTTTTTTGAGACGGAGTCTCGCACTGTCGCCCAGGCTGGAGTGCAGTGGCGCAATCTTGGCTCACTGCAAGCTCCGCCTCCCGGGTTCACGCCATTCTCCTCTCTCAGCCTTCTGAGCAGTGACCACAGGCACCTGCCACCACGCCCGGCCAATTTTTTTGTGTGTTTTTAGTAGAGACGGGGTTTCACCGTGTTAGCCAGGATGGTCTCGATCTCCTGACCTCGTGATCCACCCGCCTCGGCCTCCCAAAGTGCTGGGAACATAGGCGTGAGCCACCACGCCCGGCCAGATAAACTTATTTTTTAATGAACTGTTGGTAAACTTAATATGTTTTTTTCTTTCCTAAAAGATTTTTCTTCTCAGAGATCTAAAAGAGGAAGAGGTAAACAGATTTCTATCTAACAAAAAATAATATAGACTCACTTGTTGAAGTAAAATCTCATTATGTTTTTATCTTCTCTTTTAGGATCCCGACATGCATATTCAACACAAAGTGGTAAATTATTGTATTGCTAAGAAATTAATATAGGAGTCTGTTTATGAGAAATTAAGAATCTTATAATTTTTCTTCAATTCTCTAGACACTTCATGTGATAACCGAGGTAAGTATATGTAGAGATTTTTGTAAAATTAAAGGAAAATCAGGCTTCTTCCTGCCACAACATAAAAGGCTATAAAAACTGACCAAAATTTAAAAAAGAAGAAGAAGAAATCAAAGTAGTTACAGAATATTCTGAGAAATGTTCACAAATGTTCACCATCACGCTATGAGGCACCATTTTCCCCAAAGCTATGCAATTCCTCTCCTATCCAACTCCTAATTATTTAACAAAAGTAATATGAGAGAAAGGCATCAGCAAAATAGTAGAATAGGAGCTTTCTTCCCACACAGAAGCATCAATTTAGACAACTATCCACAGATGAGACAATACCATTGTGGGAGTCCAGGAGTCCAGCAGAGAAGTTCCAGCACGCTGTCAGGTTATAAAATCCTAGAACAGATGTATTAAAGAGGGTAAGAAGAACAGTTTCACTTTACCCACATCACTCCTCCCCCAAGGTGGCACAACTCAATGCTGAGACAGACCCACTTGGCCCACAATTTCTCCCACAGAAAAAATGTGCAGAACTTAATGAGGGCCCACATCCCCCAGCCATTCAGGATGCTGTCCGATAAGCCCACTTATTTCTCACTCCACCCAGAACATTGAGATGATCAGCATAGTTGAATGGTTAGGAGAGGCTGGGAGCAGGGAAAAGAGACTGCAGAACCCACTCATCAGAAAGCCTCATCAGAAAGCCTGCCATTTGAGATGCGTGACCTATGCTCCTTGCACTACTGACCCACAGGCACGCCTTTCACACATTTCACTCTCCCATCTAGGCTGAGTCCCCAAATGAGCCACCATGGACAACAAAAGGAAACATCTCACAGTCAGTTTGACTTTGTAGGATCGGAAAAAAGGACACAAACTTGAGAATTCCAGAGCACCACCCTAGGGAAAACAAAGGGAAGGCTCTCAGAACCTGGACTGGCTTTGCAGGATTGAGACAAAGCACAATCTTAGAAATCCCATCTACCCTGGGTGTGGTAGTTCATGCCTGAAATCCCAGCACTTTGGGAGGCCGAGGCAGGAGGACTTCTTGAGACTAGGAGTTCGAGACTGGCCTGGGCAACATAGTGAGACTCCGTCTCTAAAAAAAAAAAAAAATCAGTTGGATGTGGTGGTGCACACCTGCAGTCCCAGCTACTCAGGAGTCTGAGGTGGGAGGATTGCTTGAGCCCAAGAGTTTGATGCTGCAGTGAGCCACGATCATGCCACTGCTCCACTCTGGGTAGCAGAGTGAGATTTTCTCTCAAAAAAAGGGAAAAAATCCCACCTGTGAAGTAGGCACAAACAAATATTGAACAGGGTGACTGTTTCTTCAAATGTGAAAACACAAGACAAGACTTCAAGGTCATAAAAATCAAGGAAACATGACACCACTAAAAGAACACAATAATATTTCAGTAACTAACCCCCAAAAATGAAGGTTTGCCTAAAAATCAATCCACCAGTTGCCTGACAAAAAAATCCAAAACAATTGTTATAAGAAAGCTCAGTGAGCTACAAGACAACACAAACAATATAATGACATCAGGAAAACAACACAAGAACAAAAGTAGAAGTTCAACAAAGAGAAAAAAAAACAAAACAGAGCCATACAAATTTTGGAGCTGAAGGGTGCAATGCCTAAACTAAAACAAAAAGGAAATAGAGAGCTTCCAAGATGATGGATCAAGTACAAGAAAGAATAAGAGAAGTCAAAGACCAATATTTAAAATTATCTAGTCAGAGTACAAAAAAAAAAAAAAACCACAAAGAAAAGAAATGAAGAAATATGTACAAGATTTATGGGACACCATCAAGGGAGCTAACTTTTTGCATTATTGGAGTCTCAGAGGAAAAGAGAAATAAAATAGAATAAATGCTTATTTAAGGCATAATTGCTAAAAACTTTCCAAATCTGTGAAGAGATATAGACATCTCGATATATGAAACTCAAAACTCTCCAATTGTATTTAACCCAAAGAAGACTTCTCCAAGACATTATGTCAAATTGTCAATAATCAAAGTTAAACAGAGAATCTTGAAAGAAGCATATCACATTTAAAGGTACATCAAAAGGATATTAGCACTTCTATGCAGACATTTTCTAGGCCAGTATATAATGGGATGATATACTCAATTTGCTGAAAGAAAAAAACTGCCAACCAATAACTCTTTACCCGTAAAGCTGTTTTTCAGATCTGAGAAAGAGATAGTCTTTATCAGACAAACAAAAGCTGAGGGAGTTTATCACCAATAGATCTGCCTTACAAGAAATGCTAGAGAATGTTCTTCAAGCTGAAATGAAAGGCCAATAATTAGTAAAATGAAAACATATCCAAGTATAAAATTCACTGGTAAGGTAAATATACAGTCAATTCAGAATATTCTAATACTGTAATGATGGTATATAAATAACTTTTAATGCTAATATAAAAGTTAAAAGACAAAATATTAAAAGTATATAATTTGTTAATGAATATACAATTTTTTAAATGTAAATTTTGACACTGAGAATGTAAAAAGTAGTGAGAATAATATGTAGAGTTTTTGTATGTAATCTATTTTAATAATCTAAGTTATTATTAGCTTCAAATAGACTGTTGAAACCATGTTTTATGTAAGCTTATGGTAACCACAAACCAAAAACCTATACTAGATACACAAAACAGAAAGATATTAAAGCATACCACTACAGAAAATCAGCAAATCACAAAGAAAGACAGGAAGAAAGGAAGAAAGGATATACAAAACAGCCAAAAAACAACCAAGAAAATAACTATATTAAGTCCTTAACTATCAATAATTACTTGAACGTAAATGGATTAAATTTTCTAATGAAAAGACACAGAGTAGCTAAATGTATTTAAAAACAAGTTGCAACTATCTGTGCTGCCTGTAGCAGACACACTCCAGCTCTAAGGATACATATAGAATGAAAGTAAAGGGATGAAAAAAAGATGCTCCATGCAAATGGAAAACAAAAGACGGTAGGGGTGGCTATACTTACATCAGGCAAAATAGACTTTTAGTCAAAAATTATAACAAGAGACAAAGGAGCTCATTATATAATTATAAAGGGCTAATTCATCAAGAGGATATAAAAATTATAAGTACATATGCACATAATGTCAGAGCACCTAAATATATAATATTTACATAACTGAAGGGAGAAACAGCAATATAATAATCGTAGCGGACTTCAGTAACCCATTATTGACAATGAATAGAGCATCCACACAGAAAATTAACAAGGGAGAAAATAAAGTTACCAAGAATACCCAATAGGGAAAGGATAAATGTTATTAGGAAAACCGGATATCCATATGCAAAAACAAAAAGAAATTGGCCCTTATCATATACCATACACAAAGATCAATTCAAAATGGATTGAAGACTTTAATGTAAGACTTGCCACTATAAAACTCCTATAATAAAACAGTGAAAAGTTCCATGACATTGGTCTTTGCAAGTTGTTTTATATGACACCAAAAACACAGTAACAAAAGCAAAAATAAGTGGTATCTCGTCAAACAAAATTGTTTCTGGACAACAAAGGAAACAATCAACAAAATGAAAGCCAACTCACAGAATAGGAGAAAATATTTGCAAACCATATATCTGATAAGTGGTTAATATTTGTCTTAATCTGTTTCTGTTGCTTATAACAGAATATCTGAAACTGGGTAATTTATAAAGAAAAGAAATGTATTATTATTTCTTACAGTTATGGAGGATGGAAAGTCCAAGGCTGAGGGGGCGCATGTGGCGCAAGAGAGCCTTCCTGCTAGTGGCGACTCTCTGCGGATTCCTGAAGTGGTACAGGGCATAACATGGCAAGGTGGCTAACATGCTGTGCTTAGGTCGTTCCTCTTCTTTTTTTTTTTTTTTTTTTTTTTGAGACGGAGTCTGGCTCTGTTGCCCAGGCTGGAGTGCAGTGGCGCGATCTCGGCTCACTGCAGGCTCTGCCTCCCGGGTTCACGCCATTCTCCTGCCTCAGCCTCCCGAGTTGCTGGGACTACAGGCGCCTGCCACTACGCCCGGCTAATTTTTGTATTTTTAGTAGAGACAGGGTTTCACCGTGTTAGCCAGGATGGTCTTGATCTCCTGACCTCGTGATCCGCCCACCTCGGCCTCCCAAAGTGCTGGGATTACAGGCTTGAGCCACCGCGCCCGGCCCGTTCCTCTTCTTATGAAGCCACCAGTTCCACTTGCCTGACAACTCATTAATCCATTAGTGGATTAATCCATTTATGTGGGTAGAACCCTCATGATATAATCACCTCTTTAAGGCCTCACTTCTCAATGCTGTCACATTGAAGATTAAGTTTCAACATGAGTTTCGGAGAGGACATTAAAACCACAGCAATATCCAAAATATATAAGGAACTCATACAACTCAAAAGCAAGATACAACTCAAAATACAGCTGAAACAAATAAGCTGATTTTAAAATGGACTAAGGTTCATATCTGTTCATGAACCTTAGTCCATGAACAGACAATTCTTAAAAGAAGACATTTACGCAGCCAACAGACATATGAAAAAATGCTCATCATCACTGGCCATCAGAGAAATGCAAATCAAAACCACAGTGAGATACCATCTCACACCAGTTAGAATGGCAATCATTAAAAAGTCAGGAAACAGGTGCTGGAGAGGATATGGAGAAATAGGAATGTTTTTACAATGTTGGTGGGAGTGTAAACTAGTTCAACCATTGTGGAAGACAGTGTGGTGATTCCTCAAGGATCTAGAACTAGAAATACCATTTGACCCAGCCATCTCATTATTGGGTATATACCCAAAGGATTATAAATCATGCTACTATAAAGACACATGCACACGTGTGTTTATTGTGGCACTATTCACAATAGCAAAGACTTGGAACCAACCCAAAAGTCCATCAATGATACACCAGATTAAGAATATGTGGCACATATACACCATGGAATACTATGCAGCAATAAAAAATGATGAGTTCATGTCCTTTGTAGGGACGTGGATGAAGCTGGAAACCATCATTCTCAGCAAACTATTGCAAGGACAGAAAACCAAACACTGCATGTTTTCACTCATAGGTGGGAACTGAACAATGAGAACACTTGGACACAGGGTGGGGAACATCACACACTGGGGCCTGTTGCGGGGTGGGGGAAGCAGGGAGGGATAGCATTAGGAGAAATACCTAATGTAAATGACGAGTTAATGGGTGCAGCACACCAACATGGCACATGTATATATATGTAACAAACCTGCACATTGTGCACATGTACCCTAGAACTTAAAGTATAATAAAAAAAAAAGAGAGAGAGAAAAAAACAAAATAAAATAAAATAAAATGGACTAAGGACCTAAATAGACATTTTTTCAGAGAAGACTTACAGCCAACTAATAAATAAAGGTGCACAATATCACTAATCATCAAGGAAATGCACCTCACACCAGATAGGATGCATTCAAAATGTCAAGGGATAACAAGTGTTGGCAAGGATATGGAGAAAAGGGAACCCTTGTACACTGTTGTTAGGAATGTAAAGTAATACAGCCATTATGGAAAACAATATTGTGGTTCCTCCAATAAATTAAAAATAGAACTACCATATGATTCAGGAATGCTACTTCTGGGCATATATTCAAAGGAAATAAAAATCATTATCCTGAAGAGATGTTTGCACTCCCATATTCATTGCAGCATTATTTACAATACCCGGGATAGAGGAATAAACTAGGTGTCCATCAGTGGATGAATGGATAAAGAAAATGTGATACACAGACACACACACATACACACACACACACACAATGAAATATTATACAGCCTTAGGAAAAGAAAGAAATCTTGCCATTTGTGACAACATGGATGAACCTGGAAGACCTTAGGCTAAGTATAATTAGCCACGCATAGAAAGACAAATACTACATGATCTCATGTATATATGGAACCTTAAAAAGTTGAACTCAGCAGAAAGGTGATTACCAGAAGTTAGGGGGTGGAAGAAATGGGCAGAAGTTGGCC
>NT_167244.2:3644185-3688751 GCF_000001405.40 Homo sapiens | reverse complement strand
GAACTCCTGACCTCAGGTAACACACCCACTTCGGCCTCCCAAAGTGCTGGGACTACAGGCTTGAGACACCGTTTTTAAAATCCCCATAGAACCATGAGAAACAAGAAACATTATTATAAAACAGAGAATGTGTTTTGTACTTAATTCCCATCACAATGACTGCCAAGTATGGAAGGAGAGCACTCATTTTCAGAAAAGAAGCTGAAAAAAAAATACTATTGTCTTCACATTTCTGAGTAGATCTTTAACTATACTTTAGTGAAATAGCAAATGATATTATGATTCAACATAATTTAAATCAACTACAAAGTATCAATATTACTATTTACTTTTACACTTTTATGAAAACAACAGTGATAACATGACTAGTTTTCCATGTAATTTGCTTTGTCTCCAGATCTTTTAGAAAGTCTGTTTCCATGACATCACTAAGAAACAAGTTTTAGATCATAGGATGCACATTCAATCGCAATCAATATACACATTTGCATTCATTATAATTTGCCATATTGTCACTGAACTTGAATTCTCAGTCAGCTGAGTAAATATTTTGCCATTCCTTCTTTTATTTGACCTCAACTTACCTTATAACTATACATTCTTCTGTTTCAATGTTTGCATGTATAGTTTATTATTTCTTCTCACTACATGTATTTACCTTAATTAAACTCTGCCTGTTTTTTTAATGTCATTAAACTTATAAATTAAGCCATGAGGAGATTTTGTCTCCAGTTTCTTGCCTAACTGGATATTTGAGGGTGTTGACTGGGTAATCCTCTGTAGTGATACCAAAACTACAGAAATAGAATATCCAAATTGATTTTTCTTTCTTTTGTTTATGTTTTCAGAGAGATCCAAAAGAGATTACAGTAAGTATTATCTTGCTTCTTAACAAAAATTTGCTTCCTATTAGTAACATTTCCCTAGATTGTAAATGCTTTGGAGGAAAGAGAAATCCTGTCATATGTCAAGTCATATGAATACTAAGCAATAGATAAAGTTTTCTAGTGCTGGTTTAGAATGATCTGGCTGGGAGAAAAGGAAAACAATAGAAGTGATGAGCAAGAGAAAAGGAAAGTAATAAAGATAAAAGGGAGAGAGAGAAGAAAATAGAGAGGGAAAAAAGGGAGGGAGGAATTAGGGCAGTAGGAATGGCATCTGCCTACTAAAAATTAAACCCATTTTTAGAGATGGAAAGCATATGCAGTAGCTGGTGGGAGTGGCTGTCAGTACCCATCACCAGATCAGTGATGACTCCCGGGGCCTAGACTTTAACTCCTGAGAAGGGGGTGACAGCAACTGAAGCTGATATGTAAAGATTAGGGATCCAAACTCTCATGATTCACCTCATGTTTTCTGTGTGTGTATTTTAGCACCATCAACCAACTCTCTAGGTAAGTGCTTTGTGGTTTTCTTTCAATTCTACTGTCATCTGGTTTGCAAGCCCTATTTTTTCTGTATTTTTTCTCTTTTAAGAAAGTTTTTAAAATTAAGTATAAAAATAATTAACACTTGTATATCACACCTTAGATGTGACAAATTGATAATATTCTTGTCATATTTCTCAAGTTATCATAGACATATTCCACTCCCTTCTTCCCAAAGGCTTATTAATATATTTTAAATATTTAAGTCTATTTACATATATTTATAGTCTCTACCTATCACTGAACAAAATATAGTATCTTTTTTTAATGTTTAATTTTACTAAAATGGCATCTGTCTGATAGTATCATTACGATTTGCATTTTTCTCTCAAAATGTAGTTTTGAAATCCAGGTTATACACTTTGTTGAATAATATTCCACCTTATGAATATACAATATTTTTCTATTATTTCTACTACCGATGCATTCTCAATGTTTCCAATTTCTGCTATCACAAATAATGCTGCAAAGACAATCCTTAAGTAGATGGAAAAGAGTTTATCCGGGGTACATACCCTGAAGTAGGATTAGTGTTCACATTGTATATGAGCATTTATGTAATTTATGCATATTTTAAATTTTAGTAGCTATTAATTAAGCTCCTTGGTAGTTACATAGAGGCATACAAAAATAAATAAATATTTCCAATTTCTCTGCATTAGTAACAATCCCAGATTTTGTCATATTTTTCTATTATTGCCACTTGAATACGTATACAATTTTTAAAATCTGCATTCCCTGCTCACTCCTGAAATTGAGTATCTTCTCATAGGCTTACTAGCTAGTGAGGCTTCACCCTATATAAATTGCTTGTTCATTTACTTTACCCATTTATCTATTAGTTATTGATCTGTAGTAATTCTTTATTATTATGAAAGATTAACTTTTATATGTTATGTTAAATATCTGCAATTATCTCATCCAATTCTGTCTCTTAGCTTTAAATTTTTATGCTGTCTCTTGACTTTTAGAAGGCCTCTACTCACTCTCCCCCAGCACCACACAATTTATTGTAATAAAATTTGTCAATCTCTTGTTTTCTTTTAGAGTTTCTGCTTTTTAGTTTCTTTGGCCTTATCTGGGTATCACAAAGATTTTATCTAATACTTTCTCTTAATAGTTTTGAAATTTCCCTTTCTACATATAGAACTTTAATCCAAATGGGGCTTTGTTAATTGTTTTTTGGTTTTGGTGAGTGATTTTAGTAATAATACAGGTGAGATCTAATTTTCCTTTCATCTGGAAAACCAACTAGAGGGATTTCGTCTCATCTTGTTCCAACTAGATTTATTGACTGGTGCATTCTTTCTCTGCTGATTTGTAATGCCATCTTCATCTTATATATTTCGTTTTTCCGTGGATTTTATTTTCTGTTCCAGTGATCTTTTGTCTTTTACTGAACCAATACTCCATTGCTTTCACTACTAAAACTTTATAACATTACAAAAAATAGCACATTATCTTTGTTCTTTTTCAGAAATGTGTTGGCTATTCTTTGACCTTTTCTCTTACACAAGAATTTCATAATTTCTCAAAATCTATGAGTCATATTAGGATTTCATTGAAATTTCATTGAGCCTGTAGATTAATTTGTAAAATCAATTATTCCCATGCATTAACATGGTTGCCTACTATTCAAATTTTCTCATATACCCTTCAATAATGTAATATAATTTTCTTCAGAAAGGTCTTGCATGTCTTTTGCTGCATTAATTCTTATACACATACTTGTTTTTTGTTTCGGATGTTAATACTATCTCTCTACATGGATTTTACAAATAATTATTGTTGGAATATAAGTTATATGTTGTATATTTGAGAGTAGATTTTGTATCTAGCCACCCTGCTGTGCTCTTAGAGTTCTAATAATTTTCAGATTCTTTTGAATTCTATATGTAAAAAATCATGTCATCTGCAAAATCTGATAATCTTGAGTTTCCTTTTCCAATTCTTAAAACCATTTTCTTGTCATAGCTTGGGCTATGTATATCTATGGGTAAAATTCCTTCTCTTTACTTTTGCTTTATTTTTGTTCCTTTTTCTAGCTTGCTGTATGAAACTCTTAATCAATTTCCAGACTTTCTCATCTTCTTTTTTTATTTTATTTTTATATGGGACACCATGAATTTTCATGCCATCCTTACACACGGGCCACGCTAATCTTCTCTGTATCATTCCAATTTTAGTATATATGCTGCCAAAGTGGGCGCTCTTATTTTCTAATATAAGTATCTAAGTAACTTCTAAATGCTGCTGAAACTCATATCCTCATATCCACTCATATCCTCATGACTATTTTTTTACTTCAATTCTACACTCTGATATTAGCATTGTTCTAACACCTTTGTTTTAATTAGTATTTGCCTATTTTTCATCCTTTTATTTTGAACCTTAAAAGTTTGTTTTTGTCTTGTGTCTTTTTTAAATGGCATATTGCTTGACTTTGTTCATATTAACAATGTAAAATTTTCTGTTTCCTAATAGATGAATTTAGTTCATTTTATATTGTGAATTGTTATATGTTTATCTAAATGTTTCCAATTTATATTGTGTTTTCAACTTACAGTACTATGCTCTGTTCTTTCATTTTTAAATCTTCTTTTCTACCTTCTGCTGGTATATTAGAATTCCTTGTTTCTTTTGTTTTACTTAGTGTTTTTCTGGATTTTGTTTTATGTATCCTGATATTTGTAACATGTGTACTATTTAATTTTTCTTTAAAAATTAAAGATAATCGGTATCTTCTTCCAAGACTAGATAATAACTTTTATTTGACCATCTTCCCTCCAAACTACTCTTTCCAAATTCTCCATCTTGTTTGTGGTATTCTTTTTAAAGACAAAATAATTATTTATTTTCACAATTAATTATTACTTAGACTTACAACAATATTTCAGCATTGTTTTTGCTTAACATTATTTGCTACATCCTGTGTCTTTTCTCTTCTATTTCTTGCCCAAATACAATCCTTTACTGGTTCTTTAAACTCTACATGTATGTGAAAAATTTTCTAAGCCTTCATATGGCTGAAAATAGCTTTACTTCACCTTCAGCCTTAAATGAAAATTTAGCTAGGTATAGAATTGAACATTATTTTCCCTCTGTACTTTGAAGATTTATTCCATTTGCTTGTTGTTTATTATTTATTATTGTTGATAAGAATCTATCACTAGTTTGATGTTTGTTCCTAAGTAAATATATTTTCAAGATTCTCTTTATTTTTGTGTTCTGCATTTAATTATAATGTTTATAGGTGTGAGATTAACTTTTTATGAGTGTGAGGTTATCCTGAGCAGGATAAATGAAGTGAATCTCACACCCACAATGGAAAATCCTGAATGCTTCCATTTACTCTGAGCAGGATAAATGAAGTTAATCTCACACTCATAAACATTCAAGAGTTTCCATTCTGTGGACTCAATCTTTCTAATTACAGAAAAATTTAACTTTAATTGCTATGAATTTTGCCCATATTTATATCTATATCTAACAACAAACTGTAGTCTCTACTTCTAAAATTACTATGTATGTAAAGATTTTCCTTCCATCTTTCAGATCTTGTGACTTCTCTTTTATATTTCTTATCTGCACTGATTAAGTTAGCCCCGGATCTTAAAATCTCAGTGGTTTTCCCTAATAGAATTTTATTTCTTACTTATGAGAAGTCCAAAACAGGAATTCCAGATTGGCGGATGGCCCTTCTCTCAGCAGTGTCTTAGGCACTCAAATTCATCTTAACTAATGACTCCACCATCTTCAAATAATGGCTCCTAAGTTCATCATGTTAGTCCACCTTAAGTGAACAGAAAGAAAAAAGCTTGAAGATCATGAGTGGATGACTTTACAAACAAGCCTGGATGACTTTCATATCACTTCTAACAACATTAGATTGGCTAGAACTCAAGCATATAGCCACACCTAACTACAAGGGAATTTTGGGGAAATAGTCAACCACGTTGTATTAGTTTTCTATAGCTGCTCTAACAAATTACCACAAACTTAATGGCTTAAAACAACACAAATTTATTATCTATCAGTTCCATAGGTTATAAATCTGTCATATATGTCTCCCTGGACAACAATCAGGTTGTCAGCAAGACTGCATTCTTTCTGGAGGTTCTAGGAACAAATCTGCTTCCTTGCTTTTTCAGCTTCTAGAGGCTGGCCACATTCCTTGGTTCATGGCTCCCTTCTTCTATCTTCAAAGTGAACAAAAATGAATCAAGTCCTCACATCACACCATTCTGCCCTTCTTCCACTGTAGTACCTCTTTCTCTTACTCTCTTTTATCTCCCTCTCCCACTCTTAAAAATCTTTGTGATTATATTAGGCCCACTCAGATATACCAAAATCATCATCCTATTTTAAGGTCAGCTGATTAGCAACTTTAACTTCATCTGCAATATTAATTCCCTTTTTCCATGTAACCTAACATATTAAACAGGAAGATAATCCCAGGTTCTTACAATGCATGAGGCCTATGGCCTTGATTTCTGCTGGTGATCAGGTGTTTAAGCCTCAGTCCCCCAATAAGGTATCACATGGGTGGTAAAACTTCTCATTCATTACCAAGAATATGGGTTCCTTCTTGATATATTTTTCTTGAATATATTACTTCTCTTTTTAGTTTTCAAGCTCAGCTCTACTTTATAAACTTTAAAAAATACCATGTTCAAAGTAATCACTTAAAGGAGAGGATGAAATATTCCCCTCAATAGCAAGCACCCTTTCAGTAAGCCCCGAGGTTCTAAATACTTTCACTACTTTGACTCTTTAGCTTCTAATATTATTCAAGAACTTCCTGATTTGGTCTCTTGCTATTCTTCACCTCCATAGGGCACAAGTGAATTTTGGAAAGTGGAAACCCCTGTTGAAGCAGTTAGGTGGTAATTGTTTGGTGTAACAAAAAATCTTTTCGAACAAAGGGAAAACAGAAAATTAAGGAGAGAGAGGAAGAGGTGGAGGAAAGGTAGAGAAGGAAAGAACAGAGCAGCAGAATCACCAATGAAAGAAGACTTATAGGGACAGAAAAATGTCCTCAGATTGAGAAACTAGCAATCTCCAAAAATATTTTTATTCTCTTACCAAAATTGAAAGACAGGTTGCATAGATCTTGTAGTCCCACCTTACCACAAAAGTATTGGAATCCATATGTAGATATCCAGCTGCTCACCACATTGCATTGCAATTGATACCAGGAAATAAGTTGTGACTCATTTCTATCCTCTTTTCCACAACCTTTCTGCAATATAGTGTCTATGGCATCTAAGTTCTCCCTGGGACAAACAGAACTCATTCTTCTTTTGATGTGTTTTATTTTAGCACTGTCTCGATCAAGTATTGGTAAGTTCCTTTACTTTTCTTCAATTCTGCTGACATTTAGCCCCAGTTAATCAAGAGGATATCTTCCTAAACTTCCCAGACTTCTTCGCTGCAGCACAGCAGAAGCTTAAGCTTCACATTTCTCCAATTTCTTTGTTCTCCATAACCAGACACTTCAATAATCAGTCAAAAGTAAATGCAAGTTTCTAGTGGTTTATTATGATGACATGAAGAGAGCAATTTCCAAACCTGAAGTGTTGGGAAAACAGAGTAAATAAAGGATAAGAGCAAAAAGTTAGTAAGAAAAATAAGATGAGGATGAGGATAATATAGAATGAGGGATAAATGATATTAGCTGTGTCCTCAGAATTTTAAAGCTTTACATGGCTAGCACGAAAGGGCAGCCTTCCTTGAGGCATCCCCAAGTCAGGCTGGCAGCAATGGAAGAGATGGCTAATTCCCTATCCCCCTGAGCTGCAACTGACACTAAGGGTTTGGTGCTCCCAGGCGTTCCTGGTTCTGATACTCATTCCTGCCCTGTCCCCTGCAAAAAAAAAAAAAAAAAGAAAGAAATGGATAGTTTTTGAGCCAGACAACCACATGAATTTTTTGTTTATATTTACTTTTAGGAGAGCAAGGAGGGAAATTTCATATTTCCAAATTCTAAGTCTCTTTAGTGTGTCACAGAACTAAGGAACATTCCCTAACCCTGCTGAGATTTTGTCCCTCACCTCCTTTTCCTTCCCCATCATTGAGCATTTTGTCTAAAATTAATGAGAACTTCGAAGAATGAGAAGTCCACCGATTAAAGAATAAAGAGAGGATTAAAATGGTTTTAGCTGGCAATCATAGTTTCAGCAAAACAGTAATAAATTCATTAACTTAGGAATAGGAGGGAAGAAGAGAGAGGCTTGTGAAGAGATCAGGGAATGGGAGTAGGGGACAAGGAGAGGTTTGTAATTAAAGCAAGTCATCTTTCTTGACTATTTACAGATATTACACATGAGGAAAAAATGAAATTTAAAGATATTATTTAACTTGACCCAAGGCATATAGCTAGCAAAAGAGTAAAACTGAGGTTCTAAACACTGGCCTTTGGACTCCAAGTCCTGAGGTTGTCCAACTACCCCCAGGACATCATTAAATGTATTTACTCTTCCAATCCAAAGTATTCTTTGGAAATAAAATGTTTGTTCCAAGGAATTTAGAAAATCATGCATATGTTAAAAATATATTACTTCAATTTTTAAAATGTAATTTGAAAATCTTAAAATGTAAATTAATATAAAATATCAGAATTAGTGTGCTAATCCAATACTGTGCCATAACCTTATCCCATGAATAAGGCTGTTTTGTTGTATATACAACTGTGAACAGGTGCCCTTAGAAAGCTATCAAGCTCAATATTTTATTACTTTTATAATTAAAACATGTTTTATCTAGTTTTACTTTGTTTGCATCTAACTTATGGAAAGGGTAAAATATTTGGGAGTTGAAACATGCTAAACAATAAACTCAAATCTTCAGTTTCTTCAGCAAAATCTGCAGAGGACCCATGTGAGACAGGCTTGCCATAAAAACCCTCCAAAGGGGAAATCATTTAGAGCACTGCAGCTGCTATACCTAAGACAACATAAGTATTTCACAGACAGCATAGATTCTAGTGAGGTAAGACAGAAAATAAACACATAAGCAAACAAATACAATGATTTCCCTTTCTAGATAATTCCTACTATGATTACTAGACTATCATAGTAAATTCTACGGAGAAAACAAATTAAGATAATATGATAGAGCAAGACCAAGAAGTGAGGGCCTTTAGCTAGGAGATTAGAAGAAATTTCCCTGAGGAGATATCTGAACTGACTCTGAATGGCGAAAAGCTGGCAGCCACAGGAGGATCTTAGGGAAGAGTATCTCAGGCAGAAAGAACACCAAGTTCCTCAGAGGGGAAGAAGAGTAGCATGTATGAGAGATTGCGGGAAGGCCAGTTGTGAAAGATCGTGGAGGAGTTTGAAAGGTAGGGAGAGGCCAGATCACAAAAAGTCTTTTAGAATAAAATATGGAGAACAATTCTGAGCACCACAATAAGCCATTGTTTTCATCAGGGAAGGGATAAAGCCACATTTATGCTTTAAAAAGGCAACCCTGGCTTCTGGTAGAGAATGAAATGGGAGAGAATGACCATCATATTTATTTATGATGGCAAGAAGGAGAGAGGTACAGAGTAAAGTCTCATATGTGCTTCAAAGACAACAGGAGTTTCTACTGGAGAAGACTGTTCGGAAACAGCAATGGGGAGCAAAAATGACATTTACCTATATTCAGGCATGTATATGGGTATGGATTTTTTCTAAAACAAACGTACAAAAAACCAGACATCACAGCCTCAACAACAGAGTGAGACCCTGTCTCTACAATGAATAAAAAATTAGCCGGCATGGTGGTGTGCACCTGTGGTCCCAGCTACTTGGAAGGCTGAGGTGGGAGGATCACTTGAGCCCAAGAGGTCAAGGCTACAGTGAATTGTGATTACGCCACTGCACTCCAGCCTGGGTGACAGAGTGAGACCCTGTCTCAAAAAAAAAAAAAATCTAAGAGGGCTGTAAGAGACATGGTTTTTTAAAAATGTTATAATTTTTAATTGACAAAATTGTATATATTTATGGTATACAACATAATGTGTTGATATATGTATACATTGTAGAATGACTAAATCAAGCTGTTAACATATCCATTTCCTCACATACTTTTTGTGGTAAGAACACTTAAAATCTACTCTCTTAGCAAATGTCAAGTATAACACATTATTAACTACGATCACCATGTTATACAATAGATCTCCTGAAAGTATTCCTCTCATCTAACTGCAATTTTGTATGCTTTGAGCAACATCTGAGATAAGTATTTTTTTAAAAAATTGAGATAGAATCTCACTCCGTTACCCAGGCTGGAGTGCAGGGTGCAACCTCGGCTCGCTGCAACTCCACCTCCCGGGTTCAAGCGATTCTTGTGCCTCAGCCACCCAAGCAGCTGGGATTACAGGCGTGCGCCACAATACCCAGCTAATTTTTGTATTTTTAGTAGAGACAGGGTTTTGCCATCTTGCCCAGGCTGGTCTTGAACTCCTGGCCTCAAGTGATTTGCCCTCCCCGGCTTCCCAAATTGCTGGGGTTACAGGCATGAGACACCGCACCCAGGCTTGAGATACAGTATTTTAAAAGACAGGAATATTAAAGCAAGACGGTGAAGAAAACGTTTGGAGAAGTTAAAGATACAGGAAAATTTGCTGATATGAATTTCAGACAGCATGGTGTGTTTTAGGGAGTAAGGAGAGGTGGAAGGAACGTCCGATTAGGAATTATAAAAAGCATTATGATAATAAGCATCCTTAAGATGAGGAATTGTCTTTGGATGGTGAGTAAATTAAATGAGGATATGACACATTTTGGGATTAATCTCAAAGGATGATGAGTAATTAGTTATGTAGAGTATTTAGCTGAAAGATGCATAGGGCCACAGGAAGCTATTCATCCCTGAAGCTCAAGATGACGTGTGGTCCTACAGAATGGATGAGGCCCTCTTGAGAGATAATTCTCATAGGCAATTCACTGGACTGTGATAACTCGAGAAAGGGCCTCTCAAACCAGGACCTCAAAGGACTTGATCCTATTATTTCCTTGAAAATCTTGAACTAGCGTAGTGCCCAAGATAGAGGAGACTATGGTCCATTACCCATACATGTATAAAAAGATAAGGACTGCAATCTGAAATGATGATATAATAATATGTGTTGAGCATTATGCTCCAGGCTCTGTCCTAAACATTTTTTCTTCATAATAATCCTAGAAAGTAGATATTATAAATCCTATTTTTAAAATGAATAAACTTAGGCATAAAAAAAAAAACAGGCAGAGTAACACAGCTAGTAAGTAGAGGAACCAGAATTCAAACCCAAGCATTCTAGTAGTTGATGGCCCATTGTACTTAATGAGACCTAATCAAGGGTCCCCTTTCTAAAATGATTTCGGTGAGAATTATATACTTTATAAACCAATTAACTCAGACGGATGTGAATTTTTATTATTATTCCTCAGTGCCAATTCCAGGAACCGTATTTCAGTTTATTTTCTATTTCTCAATTTAGGAAAGAGAAATGAGAGCAAACAGATAATAAGAAGGGAGCACATAGGGAAACTACAGAAAGTTTAATCAAGACTAAGGTCCTCCACCTGAAAAAGAAAAAAAAAAAAAAAGACTAAGGGCCAAGCATGGTGGCTTACACCTGTAATCCCAGCACTTTGGGAGGCCAAAGTAGGAGGATCCTGGAGGCCAGGAACTCAAGACCAGCCTGGACAACATAGTGAGGCTCTGTCTCTACAGAACAATTAAAAGAATCAGTAGGGCATGGTGGCATGCCTGTAGTCCTAGCTACATGGGAGGCTGAGTTGGGATGATCACTTGAGCCCAGTAGTGAGAGGTTATAGTGAGCTATGCAACCACTGAACTTCAACCTGGGCAACAGAGTGAAACCCTGTCCCCCCCACCCCAGCCCCCCAAAAAAAACCTAAGGTCTTCCAAGTTCCCTTAACAGTTTCAGTCTTTACAAAGGCTGAGAAGAAAAGGAAAAGGGAATCACCTTCTCTGCTCATCATCAGTCCTACATGTCATTCTGGGCCTCGGCCACACCACCAAAATATAAGATGCCTAAACAATCCATGAAAAAATCACACTACAGCTGGCATAGAGGATTTGATGCTCCCTGGTGAGGGTAGTGTGAGGGATTTTTTTTCTGATCTTCTTTTCAAAGGGGGATTAACGCTGATGCTTTTAAGCAATTGACGTGCACTTAGAGATGTGGGTATCTAGCACAATTTACAAGGGAATTGAGCAAGTTCTTGGTTGTTTCAGTACCATAAACGCTTGTTTGTCTAGGGACCTTGTCCTCCTTATTTACCTCTTTCTAGGCAGGCCCTATTTCTAGAAAGTCAGCCTTTTTGCTTCTCCTACCAAAACTTACCCTAAGGCTAAAAGGCCCAAGAACACAGGGCTTTAGTTTGTGAATTTAGCCTCATTGAATCATAAAAGTTGAGCAGAAGAAAAATTATTAAACCCTGTCATTGATCGACTGTTGTGGGGTGGGGGTTGGGGGGAGGGGGGAGGGATAGCATTAGGAAATATACCTAATGCTAAATGACGAGTTAATGGATGCAGCACACCAGCATGGCACATGTATACATATGTAACTAACCTGCACATTGTGCACATGTACCCTAAAACTTAAAGTACAATAATAATAAAATAAAATAAATTAATTAATTAAATTAAATAAATGCAGTTCCAAAAGATGGTGAGAATTATCAAACTTTGCATAGTCATTTAACAGTCAATGTAAGACAAATAAGACTAATGCCCAGACTTTCTCCACTGAATATAGTGAGGGTTCATTCTATGGTAGCTTGTACAAATTACTATCAAAGTTAATATCATTAAACCTTCTACAAGTCTTGCCCTAGAATTTAGGTTATTTTACAAGAGAAACATTTTAGAGCTGAACAAAAAGAACAGAAACAAAATGTTGGAGAGGGAAGATGGTCAGTACGTTAAAGAAAAAAATGTTTAAGGAATATTCAGAAAGAAGAGAAAATTGTAAAGAATATGAAGGAAAACGTGCTGAACTTAAAGTCAAGCAAACTGGAAGCTAAAACTGCCTTTAATTTTTTGCATACTCAGGCACAGCCCTTCCCTTTCTCAATCTCGGTTTTCTTTTCTTATAAAACTAGAACCTTTGTAACATTGCCTTTCTTTGGTTCTTGAGGCTATCACATTAGGGAAAGAAGACTCTCCAAACTGAAAAGATGAAAGAAAGAGGGAGGGAGAAACGGAAAAGACAGGAGAAAGGTGGTGAATGAAATCAGAATATTGGAAATATAGTAAAGCTGAATATTCCCCTGAAACTTTCACTCCTGCATAGTGTCTAAGGGGGAAAAGACATGGGATCACTTGCAAGTGTGGCCACTTTATGAGCCTACCTACAGGCGAATGGAAAGTCTAATAACCTGAGGGAGGACACTATTTCTGGGAAGACTTTTGGGAAATTGATGGATTATTGAAACTTTAGACTGACTTGAATAATTGTTATTGTTCTTTAGCTTTACCTCAAGGATCCATGAGTAAGTTTATCTTCTTGTTTCAAACTCTCGTGTTGTTGGGCTCCTATACTAGGCAGAGGACTTCTCCCTGTCTTAACTATTTCCTGTTTCCTGCTATGTCAGGGTGAAAGGGCTTAAGACTCATAATTCTCCACCTTGTCCTTCATTAGCCATCTTAACTGGATCATGCCCACCTTTCTCACATTTCCCCCTCTCTAAGACAATGAGACCTTCCACCTTGCTTAAGCAAATTATTTTATTCTTGCCTTTGACCACATCCTCTCACCCCCTTATTTCTTCAGAAGTCATTTCTTCTCTCTTCTACATCTTTAAATATTTTCCTTCCTTTAATTGCTTCTCCTTAAGGTATAGAACAGGTTTGATTTTCTTCCATCTTAAACAGATCCTCCCTTGACTATGTCCCTCTCTAATCACAGCCTACCTTCAAGGGAGGAAATTATGCTGTACACTCTGACTGTAGGCTTAGGAAAAAGTTATTGCTCACTTCGTATCTGAACTATACACTATTTCTCCATGAATTGAGAATAATATAATAAGACCTACTAAAAAATCACTTTTAAAATAAATTTGCTTGTTAATTATTTTCAATTTACAGAGGACTATTGCCTAGCAGTTAAGCATGCAGACTCTAGAGCCAGGCTAACTGGAGTTGTATCCCAGCTCCCTACTTACTATTTATTTGAACATAGGCAAGTTATTTAATCTCTCATTAAAATTTCAAGTCCGTTACATAACTAATTTCAACAACCAGTTGAAAATTAATCAAATAAAAGAACAGAGAAGAGGCTGGGCACCATGGCTCACGCCCGTAATCATGACACTTTAGGAGGCTGAGGCAGGTGGATCACCTGAGGTCAGGAGTTCGAGACCAGCCTGCTGAAACCCCGTCTCTACCAAAAATACAAAATTAGTTGGGCGTGGTGGTATGCTCCTGTAATTCCAGCTACTCGGGAGGCTGAGGCAGGAGAATTGCTTGAACCTGGGAGAGGAGGTTGCAGTGAGCCAGGATCGCAACACTGCCATCCAACCTGGGTGACAGAGTGAGACTCCATCTCAAAAAAAAAAAAAGAACAGAGAAGTGAGGGAAGCTGGAAAAAATGAATGGAGAAGGGAGGAAAACCAAAGAGGTAAAGTTTAAATAAACCTTCTGAAACTGATTTCAATTGATTGTCAAAAAGAAAAAAAAAAGAACACATTTTCTAAATGAAGGGAAGACTGTGACAGGAATGAGGAGGAGGGAAGTGAGGAAATCGGCAAAAAATCCAAAACAGATAATCCTGACTGGACAGGGTTTTTTTTCTGATCTATGTGCTTTTCCTACAAAAGTTTTCATACTGACTATTACATTTGTGGTTGCATATTAGGGTCACATTTCCTACTAGCAAAGTTGTTTCTTGTTCAAAGATGGAATTAAATATATCATATTTCATTATTTTTTCTAAAAGGTATCAAAACTTCCAGATGCTTCACAATCTGAACAAGTTTATTACTCACAGGTTTTAATTAAATGTGATCCAACCAATACCTATCCTTAAAGTAACGAAAAGGAAGGGATTCACTTGCCCTATCCCAACTCAGGCCGCAACCATATGATACTGATTTCAAAGTGCACTGTTGTTGAAGTATAGATGGTGCTCACTTAAATCTCTTCTCATCTGAAAACGGAGCTCCCAAATTAGCCACCACTAGCCCAGTGCCACCTATAGATGTGTTTTGTTTCGTCAGGATGGTATTATTTTAAATTTTGAATTTGAATGCCTCTGGGTAGGGCATGGACTTTTCACCATCTCTATCCCTTATAACTAGCAGATTCACAATCATGAGACCTGCTGGGCCCCTTAATGCAACTGAGTTTGTGATCGATCCCCACAGAGATAATCAGGAATTCTGTCTGGTATGGAAAATGTGGTACTCTCTAAAAGAACTAACTCTGATGCTCCCATTAGGAAGAATATCCACAGAGACAATGTCCTTAATCCAAAACACACAATATTCAGTATTTTGGCAGGATAAGTACATCGTAAGTTTTTTTTATCTTCTTCTTTACTCTGTAAGGCAACAAGTAAATACCTTCCACTGCCCTGCTTATTTGTCTTCAGCTGGGAAACGCCACAAAATACTCAGTTCAAGAATTTCCTTTCTTGGCCCAGTATGGAGGCTCACACCTGTAATCCCAGCACTTTGGGAGGCCGAGGTGAGGGGATCACTCAAGGCCAGGAGTTTGAGACCAGCCTGGCCAACATGGTGAAACCCCATCTCTACTAAAAATACAAAAATTAGCCGGGCGTGGTGGCACATGCCTGTAATCCCAGCTACTCAGGAGGCCGAGGCACAAGAATGACTTCAACCCAGGAGGTGAAGGTTGCAGTGAGCTGAGACTGTGCCACTGCACTCCAGTCTGGGTGACAGAGAGAGATTGTCTCAAAAAAAAAAAAGAAAGAAAAATTCCTTTCTCCTCATTATTCCATATTACTTTAGGTCAGGAATGGAATATATATGACCTGTGTTACATTTCTGCTCATGCCTTTGCCTGTGGCAGAAATCAGTAATTGATCATGATTCTCTTTCCTGCTCAGCTCACATGTATCCTAAAATTCTTGTCATCTCCAGATAGTCATTAATAATTGATCAAAATTAAATATGCATAACTCAAGTATACTTGTCACTCCTACCATAGGTTAATATCTTAAATCTTAAAAAATTAAGTATATGAAAACTGTCCTTTTAAAATTATCTTTATTTGGTGGTAGGAGTGGCTTCACCTTCTCAAGAAACTGACAGTTCAGTGATTGACGGCCTAAAATACCACATAGAAAAACAGACATCTCTTCCCAAATGCTGAGGGTAGATCCTGTCATTTCTGGGGAAAGCTACTATTTCCCTCCCCAAAACAGCAAAGTAACAAATAAGGGAAAAATAATTATACACAAAGAAGGAAACAAATTATTCAATTACTTTAAGAAAAAAAATTGCAAAATTTTCAACATCTTAAAATATGATTGGTTATTTCTCAAGACAGAAGCAACAGAGATTAAAATGACATAATTAAGGTACTAAGGTACACAAGAAGATAGGGTTGTTTTAAAGATTAAAATAACAGAAATTAATAAATCAAAAATAAAAACAGAATTAAGTGCACATTATAATGCTCTGCTGTCAGGACTCAGAACTTTCCAAAGGACAGTCAGAAATAAGAGGAAAAATTAAAGCAGAAAAAAGTAAAATATAAAGTAGCTTACTACTTTGCCGAAGTGTTTCATTCATTTATAGTTACTGAATATTTCTTTCCATAACATTTCTAATACAACTTTTCATCTTTCCCTTCTGTTATTACTCCTGATTTTTCACTGCAACTTCACAATATAGGTAAGACAGAGGACACAACTTCTGTTTTAGAGATGAGGAAATTAATGTTCAAAACATTTAGTGACTTGCCCAAAATCACAGAGCTAGAGAATAGCAAAAGTCGGACTCAGCTCTTTAACCTCAAGACTGTTTGTACCACACCTGAGGAGGGGGAGGAGGGAATGGGATTGTCTATCTCCATGCCTTCTGAAAGTCTAAATCTAAGTAATGTTACACTTTTCAATTTTTATTATAGGTAGTATAAAATGTTTACAAACAACTGAAGAACTTCCTTGTAAGTTTCCCATATATACAACTCAGTCCTTTTTTTACTGACACCTAATAATTGTACAAATTTATGGGATACATGTGATATTTTGATACATGCATACCATGTGTAATGATTTTGATCTTCTATAATGTGCCTGCTACCAGAGGAATGGGGAAGGTGGTGAGAAAGCACATAAAGATGGAGGAAAGGAGAAAAACTTGCAATTTTACTGTTCTCTCTTTTACCAGTGTGAGGAATTTGAGGCTGATTTCAAGATCCTCTAAGTGACTGATTAATTTTTTCATTTAACAAAGTGGAAATTCTTATAATAAAAACTAGATTAATTAATGAAATTGTGAAAAAGATTCTGGGGCCAGGGAAAATTATCTATAACCTTTAGAAGGATTTGACAGCAGGAAGATAATGAAAATTAAGAATAAGAAAAATAACTGCAGGGAGTATGATTTTAACAGTCTCCTAAGGAAAAAAGGAAAATGCCTACTTACCTTCTTGCTGCCTTTCCATGTAAATCAAATATGTAGTAAATGCTTGATCTGAAACTCCCTGAGATAAACACCCTTGAGTCATGCTCTCTTCAAACTCACCTTTTTTGTTTGTATTTTAGCCAGAACTGCAGGAGCCATGAGTAAGTTCTTTTTCTGCCCTTTAATTCTCATGTGCTTTGCTTTACTAAACTGTTAGAATATGTAAGACACTCATATTCCTAGATTTTTTTATTCACAAATTGTCCATTCCTTTCCCCTTGTTTATTCCCTATTCTTATCTTAATAAACTGGGGTGCCTCTGTAAGAAAGTACTATTGCCTTTAACTTTTCCGAAATCTTGAGATTCAACAGCAAAGGGAAAAGAGTGAAGAACAAAAAATGGTCAAGTGAAAGGAAGAAAGATTCCCCTGTGAGAAAACCCAGTAACACTCAAAGAAAGAGGCTTGATGGTGGCCATTCTACTTAAGACCCGCCAAGAAAATTTCAGTGACATGCAGTGAGTCCCAGCTCACTGACCGAGGATCCCAGACTGTCACTGATGTTTGTGTGGGATGTATATCCCCTGTTATGAACAAAGAATAAATCTGAAATAAGTATCCAGATAGAATTTTAAATGAAACTGTAGCATGTATCTCTGGAAGAAGCACTGGTTGGGAATAGAGAATAAGGAATAAGTGAGAGGAAGTTGATTTAAAAAGGAAAAAAAATGGTAAATGGAAACAATGACTTTTATATGATCTGAGATTTTGCCAGCCCTTTATGGCCTTGATGCTTAAAGTGGGTCCAAGGGCCTGCATCAATGTCACCCTGGAGTTTTAGATATGCAGAGTCTCAGCCTATTGCCCACCCCGACCTACTAAATCAGACTTTGCATTTTAATAAGATTCCCAGGTGATTTGCGTGCATACCAAAGTTTAAGAACCATTGCTCTACAGGATTTTAATTCTCTGCCCTGAGAGAGGAAATAAAAAGATGAATGCACTTGGTCCAAATTTAACCAGCTTTTCCAGCCCTGCAGATTCCCCACACCAAGAGTGACCTTAAAGCCAAAGACAAGAAAGATGAAACTCATCAGGGTTTCATTCACTTCTTAACACATTTCTATCCTTCATTTTTGAGGATGTTCAGAGCTTGAGCCCCTGAGACAGGACTAACTCTGAAGGAAGGAGAAAAAAAGTGATTTGATAATTAAAGCTCATGTTATATCACATCCTGTGTCTACTCCTCTTGGAGTATTTACACAAATGGAACATTATTAAAATAATCAAGTCAAACTTTGAGAGCAAATACTGGGTAGGTATCATAAAAGCACATATTAGGCCAAGCACAGTGGCTCATACATGTAATCCCAGCACTTTGGGAGGCCAAGGTGAGAGAATCACTTATAGCCTATGAGGTGTAGAGAGGTGTGGTGGGGTGTGTGTGTGTGTATGTGTATGTGTGTGTGTGGTCATAAAGAAGAAGACTGTTACTGCATTATTAACAAGTATGTGGGTCTAGTGTCTCAATTCCTTTGCCCACCACTCATACCTATAAATGTCTTAAGTCAACCTAGCAGTTTCTATTCCCTTTTACATGGCAGGCCAAGTTACTCTGTTGAATAAGGGCCAAAATCACTACAGAGACAGCAATTCCCACTGTCTCCTTCAGATGAGGCTATAGATTCTAGCTAAGCAAGTTCAAATTAGCCAGCTGGAAGACAGGCAATGGCCTGTGTAATCTCCTGAGATACAAGCAGGACACCCGTCAGGAAAGGGGAAGGAACACTGCCTGACCAAATGTGCGTCTCCACAGTTCCAGCTGGCAGATTCCACCAGTAACCGGGATCCTCCAAGATGAAGAAAGAAGCATTTATAAACTTTATTTGTTCCTCCACTGAAGTGGAAATTTTGCTCCTGGTGTCTACATTTGTGATGTTTTCCCAGGAAGAATTTAAATGCAAACAGTATTTTCTCATTAGTTCTATTTTGTTTTTTCCATATTTTAACTGGAACTATTAGACCTATAAGTGAGTTCCTTTTCTGTTTCCTCTAATGTTCTTTGGCCTTCTGTAGGATATAGGGTCCTCTCCACATCCTAACTGTTACCATTTCTACCCCTGCAGGATTTCTCACTCATACTTCTTAATTGTATTCAAATTTCTGACACCTTCTGATGCCCAAGCAATCAGACACAATATCCTGAATTGCTACTGAGTTTAGGACAAGGGAAAGCCAAATAATTCATGTTTAAAACTGTAGTTTATTTTAATTATTTATATTTATTATTTTTAGTTACTTAAATTTCTCATTTAAGATGGATGCTGAATGATTTGATCTGGTAGGAGGGTTATGCAGCTTCCAGGCTAAGATCATCTGCAGTCCCACAGTAGTTGTTCTCCTCTGGTTGAATTGCTTCATAGTTTCTTTAGAAACAATACTGGTAAAATGAAAATTCTATTAATGTCAAACCACACTTTCCTCCTTTTTGTATTTCAGTGCAATTCACAGCCCCTATTCGTAAGTATCAAGTTTGTTTTTCCACTCTGGTCCCTTTGATATCTGACCTACAAGGTCTTGGGGCCTGATCTGCCCTGCATTTTTAAAAATAATTTCAACTTTTATTTTAGATTCCGGTGGTGCATATGCAGGTTTGCTAATGGGTATATTGTGTGATGCTGAGGTTTAGCGGTGACTTGCTTTTTTAACACTGTCTTTCTCAACTCCCCTGGCATTCCTATTACATAGTTTCCAAAGAGGCCATGCACGAAGTGTTAAGAAATCTCACAGGCTAACATTTAAAAATATAAACCAAAACAGCCCTCTTAGAAATAGTCATAATGATCCATCAGCAAGGGAAGGTACACCTTTCAAATAAACTATGTCTCTAAGGAAACTAGGGGCAAGGGGCAAGAAAATGTAAGAAGAAAAATAGAGGCATAACAGATTAATATGGAGTGAGTCTTTCCCAACCCTCTGAAGATTTTCAACCATCACTGAAAGCAGGAGGAGGCCTCCATTCCTGTAGGTCCCTTATATTGTGCAGGGAGCCTGCCTGAGGCTCGCCATACAAGCAACTCTTGATCTTCCCGTTGTTTCTATTTATGATACTCCCTAGAGCGAGTGTTGGGAAATGGAAATTTCCTTCACAGTGGTGAAGCATACTGATATCTTTTTCTTTCTCCCTCTTTCTCTCTCACAGCCGGAGCTACAGGACCTATCAGTAAGTTTGCTCTCTGTTTCTCCACAGTGAGCATTTTACTTTCCTGCAGTATCTTAGGGATCGCTACCTGGTTTCCATGTTGGGATTTCAAGGGTTTGGAGTTCACATTTTCTTCAACCCTTATTTTTCTTCAACCTAGCATTTCAGTAAGTCATGATTAGCTGTGTGAATGTACACTTCACCAATAAAAACAAACTACAAAGTGGAGAATGAACCCTTGCAGATTTCCAATGGCTTCTCAGCATCACACAAGGGATTTTTAGATGAGGAGGCCCTTATATGTACTAGTTTGCCATAGCAAGAAAGTCACCATTTCTACTACTCAACTGCAGCTGAACTTGACAATAGTGATGCAGATTCCTACTAGGGAAAGTATACAAATTAAAGTATATAAATAAAAAGTATATATAAAATATATATATAGCTACTGATTTCTTTTCTCTTTTTTTTTTAGAGCTCTCTCAAAAAACCATTGGTAAGTCATCTGATTCTCAATTATAATGCCTTTTAGTACTTTACTTAGAACATCAATCTATTTTTATTTCAATTATTCATGCCCAAGGACTCAAGGATCAAGTCCTTCTGCCACCTCATAATCTCACCCAGTACTCCAGATTGGATTCATCCAGGTTCTGCAATAAAAATATATTAACTATGAAGCTGAAATGCAAAGTGAAAAATATCCTGCTAGAGATGGTCCTAAGCTGTTTCCACTTCAGCATATAATCTAGCTCTGTAGAGCCAATACTTAATAAAGACTTAGAACCCAGCACCTAAACTTCCTGCTGTGCTTTCCATGCAAATAATTTTTCCATTATTAGATTATCTTCACTTTGTAAAATAATGCAAATTTTAAGTTTCCTTTCTTTATTTTTTTTGAGATGGAGTCTCGCTCTGTCATCCGGGCTGGAGTGCAGTGGCATGATCTCCATTCACTGCAAGCTCCAACTCGTGGGTTCACGCCGTTCTCCTGTCTTAGCCTACCGAGTAGCTGGGACTACAGGCACCCACCACCACGCCCGGCTAATTTTTTTGTATTTTTAGTAGAGATGGGGTTTCACTCTGTTAGCCAGAATGGTCTCGATCTCCTGACCTCGTGATCCGCCCGCCTCAGCCTCCCAAAGTGTTGGGATTACAGGCGTGAGCCCCCGCGCCTGGCCTTCCTTTCCTTTCTAATTGCCCTGAAAAGTTCTCTCCAGAAGAGTTAGGCTCTATTTTCAGCAACTTTTAGCAACCTAGTCACATTCTTTGAGTGATCCCTATAATGTCTTACTACTGTTTTTTTAACCCTCGCGTACATTACTTTGTTGCATCTAAACAACATTCAAATGGCAATGAGTAAGGCAGTTATTATCCCCATATTTAGAGATGAGGAAACTGAGGGTCAGGAGTCATTTCTCAAAAAAATAAGAGGATGGGTTAGTTAATAAAATTAAGACTGAAGTTTTACTAACTCTTCATTCTTTCCACTATCATTTTTGGGTGTTATAACAGGTTATTAACAATGAATAAAATGAAGTTCTAATATTGAGATTAAAGGGTAGTAAAGGCCTAGAGGAGAAAAAGTGAGAGAATGAGTAACACAAATAATAACAGATACAGAATGAAGATGCAGTTTAGAAAGAGATAAATAGGAGAAAATTGAAAAAGAACAAAAGTAGGAAGAAAATTGGAAGCAGAAAGAGTAAGTGAATTGGCACATAAGAGAATAAAGAAGGGAAATGAGTATGTTGAGAAAGAGAATAAAAATAAAGGTACAAAAAGTCACAAATTGAAACCGGAAAGGAAGGAAGAAAATATAGAAAAACTGAAGAAACAAAATTTTGAAGTGATCACCTATCCAAGGATTTAGTAACTTATGTCAAGAGGGCAGGTATCATAAGAGTTCTACTTCAGAATCAAAGATACATATTTGTAGATACAGGCAAAGCAACTATTAAGTTAGCATAATATCTAAATGTGTAACTGGTTTACTGCTCATAGCCAAGGGTATCCAGATCTGGAAAGCCATCTTCCAGGTGTTTTACACAGGAAAAAAAAAATTCAGAGTTAAAAGTTCGAGGATTATTGATCAAAATGTGGATATTTCTCATTCTGAGTGACACTGAAGTGAAGGATTATTAACTGCAATGCCCACTGGGTGAAGATATGGTCTTTTTAGATTCAACTAACCATGCAGACTTAGAAGATTACCATAGCTCTCATCTGGGAACAGTCTACTCAGTAGGACCTAAGGCAGGAAGCACAGTTTGCCAGCAAGGGCATTAACAGCTATCCCTCTGCTGTGGGAGTAGTACTCGCCATGATCTATGCTAGGTCCACATAGCCACCTAGGACCTATTCTGTTTGGCCTTCTGTCAGTTGAATTGGGAGCTGACCTAGCTTAGAAACCCCACAGGTCCACCAGGAACTAAAATCTCCTATAAGAACCCCATACACATTACCTGCAGGGATCCCGTAAGGAATATGACCAAATACATGGGTCACTACACTCAGGGAAGCCCAAAGTTATGGCTTCTTAATACATATTTACAATTCTCCCAGTTCAGATGCAGTCTAACATCAAGGATCATTCTTATGTAAGCAGTGTTGCTAAATAACATAACAGGCTTTCGGCTGGGTGCAGTAATCCCAGCACTTTGGGAGGCTAAGACCAGGGGATCACAAGGTCAGAAGTTTGAGACCAGCCTGGCCAATATGGTGAAACCCCATCTCTACTTAAAAAAATACAAAAATTAGCTGGGTGTGGTGTCGTGCGCCTGCAGTCCCAGCTACTCAGGAGGCTAAGGCAGGAGAATCGCTTGAACCCAGGAGGCAGAGGTTGCAGTGAGCCGAGATCGTGCCACTGCATTCCAGCCTGGGCGACAGAGTAAGACTCCGTCTAAAAAAAAAACAACAACAAAAAAAACATAACAGGCTTTCGATATTTATCAGGTCACCAGGCGATCAGAGCTAGAAAATCAACTGAAGGCCAAATTCTCATTAAAAACTGAAGGTTTTGGCCAGGCATGGGCTCACACCTGTAATTTCTGCACTTTGGGAGGCTAAGGCAGGAGGATCACTTGAGACCAGGAGTTCAAGATCAGCCTGAGCAACAACAGAGCAAGACCCCATCTCTACAAAAATTTTTTTAATTAGCCAGGAATAGTGGCATGCAGCTGTAGTCCTAGCTACTCAAGAGGCTGAGGTGGGAGGATCACTTGAGCCCAGGAGGTCGCGACTGTAGTGAGCTAGGATTGCACCACTGCATTCCAGCCTGGGTGACAGAGTGAGACCTTATCTCAAAAAACAAAACAAAACAAAACAAAAAAAACCAGAAGGTTTTGTTGACTCTTTGCTCACAGACTCTAAAGCTAATCAAAGCAGCAGTCACTGCTCTATCACTCTCCAATAAGCTGGAAGCTGTGAGAAGAAGAAACTAGATTCTTACCTCCTATTCTAATGTCTACCTCTGGAACATATTAGTTGATCAGAAATAAAGATTTTAGTGAAAGAACAGTCCCTTGAGAAAGAAATATCTTCTACTCTTACTGACAGGAAGTGTTTCACCTTTCCCTACCATCAGTAATGTTAATACCTAATAACAAAGTTTTGCCTTTCCCTAGTATCCCTTAGGTTGGCAAGGATCCTATAAAAACCTTCACCTTGGGCTGAAATATTGCAGTAAATGCTAAATATCCTTTTTCCTTTTTTCTATAGTTAATATAGTTGGATTAAGTCTCCCTAATGATCTCATAACTGATATCACTTCCTCTCCCCTGCTCTACCTCTCAAAGCCTCACTTCTAGGATAAAATTAGTGAAAAATACACTCTACAAATAACTGTACTAATATGCCAATTTGAATTTCTTTTTAGTGCAAACTCCAGGACCTATTGGTAAGCTGCCTGTATATATCAACTTATCTCTACTGGCTTCTTACTATGTCTGAAGGAGACTGGCTCCAACTGTTTAAGTATCTGGGTTAAAGAAGTTGAAAATCATATTTCTTAGACTTTCATTTCCCCATATCGTAACTGTTAGGTTTTGGAGGGAAGGCGAGGGTTAAAGAAAAGACACAGAGAGAGTGGCGGCTGTACAGCAAATGTAGGCTTTATGTCCAGCATAAGACCTACAGAAGTGGGGAACCAGCCTAATGCCAGTGCCCACTGCTGCTTACAGGCTGGGGGTACTTATAGGTATAGGCGGGAGGGGTCTGGGTAGTATGGCTTGCTGGCCGGCAGGATATTGATAAGATGTTCCCATGATGAGGGGGTTCTGGCCCTTGTTCCTGCAGAATGTAGTGTTCCTTGCACTTTCTCCCAGCTGAATATGACAGGGATGTTTCTTTAGTTGGCCCTTTGTCCACCTTGTGTTCAGGTGGTTAGGCAGAATGTTTCTCACAGCCCGAACCCCCGTGGAATGTTTCACTTTTACCAAGGTCTTCAAATTGCTGGAGGCTTACAAAATGGTGCAGTTTGGATTAACACTAACCATCTCTCTGGGCAACCAATTATATTTTAGAAAATGGAAATTCCATTACCTTAAAATTCATAATAGATAGGCATTGTTCTAATAATGATTATAGTGGCTTGTCAGTAATCATTAGAATAACTTCCTAAGGCAAAGGTGTAATCGAATCTGGAAAAGAATATAAGAAATGAACAAGAACATAAAGATAGCTGAGAGTGAAACAGAGTGATCTGAGGAAAAACACTGGGGGAATATGGGGAAAGGAATACAATTAAGGATCTCATCTCCAACACCTATAATGAAAAGCAAGAATGAAGTGGTTATGCTAAAACAGGGTTAATAATCTCCTAAAAGAAGATCTGGTTCTTATGGAGAGGCTAGAGTACAGCAGCAGTGCAGTGAAAAATATTTAATCCTGAATACTGAGATTTAGTAATTCCTGAGAAAATCATTTTCACTGCTTGCCTTTGGAAAATATCACTAATAGAGGTGTTTTGGGGCCAGGCGCAGTGGTTCACACCTGTAATCCCAGCACTTTGGGAGGCCAAGGATCACCTGAGGTCAGGAGTTCGAGACCAGCCTGGCCAACACGGTGAAACCCCATCTCTACTAAAAATACAAAAAATAGCCAGGCATGGTGGCGGGCACCTGTAATCCCTGCTACTCAGGAGGCTGAGGCACGAGAATCCCTTGAACCCAGAAGGTGGAGGTTGCAGTGAGCCAAGATCACCCTACCACACTCCAGCCTGGGCGACAGAGTGAGAGACTCTGTCTCAAAAAATAGAAGTGTGTGTGTGTGTGTGTGTGTGTGTGTGTGTGTGTGTGTTTAATTTGTTTGTTTCTATTTTTTAGTACAATATCCTGGACCCAATGGTAAGTACCTTATCTATCCTTCTCCCTCCAGGTTCCTTGATCTTCTACAGTGTCTAGAGGGCCTGTTCCCTGTCTCAAATGCCCTAGATGTGTCTCACTGCCATAAGAGCAGTTATTTTACACATGTTTTTATGCTTCCTGATTTCAACCTACTGAGAATTCTCCAGGGCTATTTTTTTTAAAAGAAAAAGAGTAAGAAAATGTCCCCAGAAATAGTCATAATGTCTTCTATAACAATATACAAGAATTTTCTAAAGTAGCAGAGAGAGAATAATAAGGGCAGCTTTCCAGTTCTGAAGTGCTTTGTAGTTTCTAAAGGGCCTACTCAAAGATAATGGAGGAGACAATGAGGAGGAAATGAGAAAAGAAAATCAAATTTTAAGAATAAATACAAAAGGGAGAAAAGACAATAAAATTTAACAGGAAATACTATGCAGGGTCTAGTCTAACCTGAGTTCTCCAGTCTTCTCTCCAAAGGCCTTTCTCTTTCCTCATGTCCTATCCGGCTCACTATCTCCAAACATCCCCAACACACGTGCGCGCGCGCACACACACGCACGACAGAGAGGAAAAGAAAGATAGGACAGAGCACCTCATGGAACAGGATATAACAGTAATTGGGCTGTAATTTACAGGAACTGGCAGAAGCATCACATATGGAAGAGAATAAAATGAAAGTTCATATTGTGACGAGCTAGGGACAAACTAGGGCATCGAACCAACCCCAGGACACGGGAAATTCTGAATCTAGAAATTAAGGGATAGCATTAGAAAGTTTAAGTCAAGCAGGAAGAATTATCAGAGGGCAAGTCACATATATTCAAACAAACATTCCTTCATCTAGCTGAGCTCCTACCATGTATCTGATACTAAGCTGAGCACTGAGGATAAAGTCATGAATAAGGGAGAGAAAGATATGGTTGGTCACTGATGCCATGGAGTTTACAGTCCTATAAGATAACTTGGGAAAACAAACCCAAAATGTGTAGAGGGCAGGCAGCATCCCATACAGCCACACTATGACCATTAAAACTGGATATTTACTGCCCTGAATTCTGGTTCTAACTATCCTTTTTGTGAATGAATAAGAGCCATTTGTTATTGACTATTCCCCTGAATCAAGACTGCTTTTCTCAGTACTCACAGATTGCCAAGACTTATAGCCTTGGAAGTTCTCATAATTATTACAGGGGGGATAAACATAAGCCAGCTCACCTCAGAGGAACTCACTGGGGCTAAAGGAAGGGTCACATCTGGTCCACAGTTCCCTAATAGCCACCATGTGCCAGAGAATCTACATGGATACATGAATTCCCTTTCCCTTTTCTCCCCGCTTGACTCCCTCTCCCTTATGTGTAAACAATTTAAAAATATGATAGTGTATAAATGAAAAATATATTGCTATTTTATTCCTTTCTAGCTTTCCCCTAAGTTATAAGCGATTTGGAGAAAGTGCAAAATGAACTGATTAAAATTTAAATGACTTTAACAAAAATTAGTGGCTCCCAACAGCCCTAGTAAAGAAGAGTAGGAAGAAAGCTTTTCAAGTCAATAAAAATTATTGGGTAGAATATTCACTATTTGGGTAATGGGTACACTAAAAGCCCAGACTTCACCACTATGCCATATATGACATAAGAAATCTGTACTTGTACCTCTTAAATATAATTAATTAATTAAAAGGTTAGTGAACAAGAGTGACTAAAGAAAATGAGGCCAGGGCCAGGCATGGTGGCTCATGCCTGTAATCTCAGCACTTTGGGAGCCCGAGGCAGGTGGATCACGAGGTCAGGAGTTCGAGACCAGCCTGACAAACATGGTGAAACCCCGTCTCTACTAAAAATACAAAAATTTGGCCAGGCAAGGTGGCTCATGCCTGTAATCCTAGCACTTTGGGAGGCCAAGGTGGGTGGATCACTTGAGGTCAGAAGTTCAAGACCAGCCTGGCCAACATGGTGAAACTTCGTCTCTATTAAAAATACAAAAAATTGGCCAGGCATGGTAGCGCATGCCTGTAGTCCCAGCTACTTGAGAGGCTGAGGCAGGAGAATCACTTGAACTTGGGAGGTGGAGATTGCAGTGAGCCGAGATCTCACCACTGCACTCCAGCCTGGGTGACAGAGTGAGACTCTGTCTAAAAAAAAAAAATACAAAAGTTAGCTGGGCGTGGTGGTGCACGCCTGTAATCTCAGCTACTCAGGAGGCAGAGGCAGGAGAATCGCTTGAACCCGGGAGGTGGAGGTTGCAGTGAGCCGAGATCGTGTCACTGCCCTTCAGCCTGGGCGACAGAACGAGACTCTGTCTCAAAAACACACACACAAAAAAATGAGGCCGGGCGCAGTGGCTCACGCCTATAATCCCAGCACTCTGGGAGGCCCCGTGGGCCAGATCACTTAAGGTCAGTAGTTCAAGACCAGCCTGGCCAACATGATGAAACCGCGCCTCTATTAAAAATACAAAAATTAGGCCCGGCGCACTGGTGGCTCACGCCTGTAATCCAGCACTTTGGGAGGCCAAGGCGGGCAGATCACGAAGTCAGGAGATGGAGACCATCCTGGCTAACACAGTGAAACCCTGTCTCTACTAAAAATACAAAAAAATAATAATAATAATAAGTCGGGCATGGTGGCGGGTGCCTGTAGTTCCAGGTACTCGGGAGGCTGAGGCAGGAGAATGGCATGAACCCAGGAGCCAGAGCTTGCAGTAAGCCGAGATCACGCCACCGCACTCCAGCCTGGGTGACAGAGCAAGACTCCGTCTCAAAAAAAAAAAACCTACAAAAATGAGCCAGACTTGGTGGCAGGTACCTGTAATCGCTTGAACCTGGGAGGCAGAGGTTGCAGTGAGCTGAGGTCATGCCACTGCACTCCAGCCTGGGCAACAGAGCAAGACTCTGTCTCAAAAAGAAAAAAAAAAAAAAGAAAGAAAGAAAATAAAAGAAAAAGAAAATGAGACTGACAAAAGTACATATAAGTTTAAGACATTATGAACCTCTAGAAGTGTTTCAAGCATTTACTGTTCCTAAATGAAATGAGAAGGAAGAACAAAGCCTCACTTTACCACTTTATAGCCAATCTCCTGCCTCAGACCAGCAGAAACAGGTCTGAGGCTACAAAGCACAAAGTAAGGCACGTAAGGCCGGACATGCACTGAGCTGTCAGATTTTAGGGCCCCCCATATCCTCTCTGCAGTTACCCTCTTTAAGCCTATCAAGGGAGAACTGAATTCACTTGGTTCTACACATGTTGATTTCTCCATTTTGTGTTCCTTCCGTTTTTTACCACCAGATGAAACTTCAGAAATGACTGGTTAAGTTCCATGTCTATTGTATGATAGCTGCCTTTGGCTTCCTATAGGGCCTGGCATACTTTTCCTCTTTGCTCATTTCTGTCTTGTGTGTGTAGAAACTCACATTTCTTCATTTCTTTTGCTTATTCCTCTATTTAGCTGCTGCTCCACTCCTATAAGGAATGAATAAAGGAGAATACCAAACCCAAAATAGAGAGATAAAGTTCGGAAACTACCCGAAGTTTATAGTGACTTGTCAACAAGGGAAGGGAAGGATATTTGTATGAATAAATGAAAGCTTTCACAGGATGGCAGAAATAGGGAGAAGAAAGGTAAAGGCAGCACAGTTTAAAGAAATTACCAATCCCCCGCAGGATTTCCAGCAGTAACCACTCACTGCAAAAAGGGAAGAGATCAATCATCTCCCTTTCCTGCAGCCTCCTATACTAAGCAGAAGGCAGAATCCCCACAAGGCATGATGGCAGGTATATTCCCCAGCACAGCGCTCTATGCCCTTGCCCTAAGAAGGATGTTTCTTCCATTGCCATTTCTGATATTTCCTTTCAGGAAAGTAGTACGAAAACTAGCTCCTCTTTCAGCAGGCTGTACACGTTGATTTATCTTTGTTTTTCAGCTACAGGATCCTCTTGTAAGTTTGACCATTTCCCTTCATGAGTGAAACTCAATTATCTCCAGCAGTGTCTAACATATCTTAAGCCAAAATGTATGCATCCACATTGTGATATGATAATGTTCCAATTTCCTTGGTCCCTTATTTTTCCATTACTCAGAACACAAATATATATTTTTTTCAGTGTCACGATCAGACTATTACATTTAGCAATAAACAGCATGGGTGCAAAAAAAAATCTACATTAAAACCCTTTGTTGGAATGCTTTACACTTTCCACAGAACAGAAACTAAAATAACCTGTTATACAATTAGTCACAAATACAGTCCTCGAGTTTTTTGCCCATACACATGAGTATTTGTCTAAAACATGTCTTCTTTGTACCAGCTAGGCCCTGCCACCACTGTGCTTGGCTGAGTTCACAAATCTGTTGTAACCTGTAGCTTCCCTGTCACTTCTCTGGCTCTCCTCTCCTGCTAAGCTTTGTTTCCTAATTAAAATCTTCTGCCACTGCCATAGCTACTGCTGCTACTGGAACCACAATAGCCACTTTGGTTTCATGGTTTGGCAAAGTATTGGCCTCCACCACCATAGAGGCCACAGCTTCTGCCTCCAAAGTTTCCTCCCTTCATGGGTCCAAAATTTGAAGACTGATTGTTGTAATTGCCAAAATCATTGTAGCTTCCACCACCTCCAAAATTGCTCCCATCATTACCAAATCCATTATAGCCATCCTCACTGCCACCATATCCACCACCACCACAGCTGCCACCAAAGCTACCACAACCACTGAAGTTTCCTCCATGATCAAAGTTGTCATTCCCACCGAAACCACCTCCATGACCACCACCAAAGTTTCCAGAACCACTTCCACCTCTTTGGCTGGATGGAGCACTAGCCATCTCTTGCTTTGACAGGCTTTCCTAACTTCACAGTTGTGGCCATTCACACTGTGGTATTTCTGAATGACAGTCTTATCCACGGAGTCATGGTCATCAAAGGTTACAAAGGCAAAGCCCCTTTTCTTGCAACTGCCTCGGTCAGTCATGTTTTCAATCACTTCAATTTTTCCATACTACTCAAAATAATTTCTTAGGTGATTTCTTCAGTGTCTTCTTTAATGCCACCAGCATATATCTTTTTCACAGTTAAGTGGGCACCTGGTATTTGAGAATCTTCTCTTGAGACAGCTCTCTTTGGTTCCACAGCTCTTCCATCCACCTTGTGTGGCCTTGCATTCACGGCTGCATCCACCTCCTCCACAGTGGCATATGTGAAAAATCCAAAGCCCCTGGAGCGCTTGGGTTTGGATCTCTCATGACCACACTGTCCGGGAGTGTCCCTCACTGCTCAAAATGGCTCCTCAGGCTCTCATCAGTTGTTTCAAAGCTCAACCCTCCAATGAAGAGCTTCCTCAGTTGTTCTGGCTCTTTAGGAGACTCTGACTTAGATAAGACGGCCAGGAGAAGAGAGACTTTAATGATGCTTCTTCCGTGGCATCCATGGGCAGAAAGGCATAAATAAATTATTAATAAGTTTCTAGAACATTCACTGACTCGCATAAAAAATAAAGACCTGAGAAAAAAGTTTTTACATGACTCTAAAGAATGTTAGGAACTTTCCATGCAGAAGGAAAAAAAATGACAGAAAAATGATATAGATCCATTTCTGCTTTCTAGATAAGTCATCTATACAGGCAATTAGTCAGTTATTTATTTGTTTCTCTGTGGTGCATTTATCAAAGTCCACTGATGTCTATTGGAACTTGAGTTGCAACATGGAACTTGAAGTTCTATTTTCTCAGCCTTTTGTTTTTCCATTATCCAGAATTCAACCAGCTGATAATTAGTTTTCTGGAAATTTCTAGTGCCTTTGATTTAAAAAAAAATGTTCAAGCAAGTATATCACTAGTAAATTTACCAATAGAAAAAAAAATGAGTAGGAAAAGAAACAAGAAAGGGGTAACAAAAAGTATCTTTGCTTGTTTTTCAGTCAGATCGCATCCTCACACAATCAGTAAGTCTATGTGTTCATTGAATTCTCTCCTTTAGGACTCAGTTGGTCTCTAGTGGAGTCCAAGAGTCTTTATCTGCCCATATTGGGATACAAAGGGCTTGAGATATATCTTGGCCTCTTGCTGTCTCATTATCAAAACCTCTCTGCATTATTCATGATGTACTGGAAAGTTTTAAGACTATCAATTTACAATCCCCTGCAGGATTTCAAGCAGTTACCAGTCACTGCAAAAAGGGAAGAGATAAGTCAGAGCAGAGAAAAAAATTTTACAAAATTTCAAAGCCCATCAACAAGAGACTACCTTAAAAAGGGAAAAAATGGTAGGAGAGAAAGGAGTAGATAAGAAGTTTCTATAACCCTTTTTCATTTGAACCTCCTGCCATATCTGGTCTCTTTTTTCCACATTTAAATTCCAAAACATCTAAGAAAAATTTGTATCACCTTTTAGAGACTTTAGAGGATTTAAGCCTAAACTTTAAATAACAACTTTAAGTTGTTATTTCCTCCGTGTTTTGCTTTCATGTGACACATCATTCTCTCACCTTTTAAATAACTCTATGGAAAAAATCAAACTTACTATTTTATTAAAAAATAAAGGGAAGGGGAGAAAGTTTATCAGCAGGTCAAAATGATATATTACAAGGGACTTAACAAACTGAAAGACAATTTGAGCAATGGGGAAAGAAAAAGGAGATAATTGTTTCTGGTCTAGTTGCAAGCTGGATTCATTTCACTTGCCATCAGTATGTCCATGTTTTCACCACCGTAGGATTCTGGAATCTCTCCTTTCCCTGGTACAGCTAAGATTTCCAGGCTTGGGGTGCATACTACTTTAACCACTTACTTTCCTATCATCAAAATTCCATGAAGTTATTAATGATTTTTTGAAAGTTCACATTCTGCTGATTCATATTAAAAATAAATGAATACCAAAGGGAAAGTTTTCCCTATTGTTATAATGACCTACCAAGAAGAAACTCTCTACATAGAAAGGAAAATATCATGGGAGAAAAAACAGTTGCTAAGATACCTCTCTGTTTTTCAGCTGGTCCACCTTCAGCACCCCGCGGTAAGTTCCATTTCTTTTTCTACTCTTTTCTGTTGTTGTTCTTGTTGTTCCCTGCAAGGCTTAGAGACCTGTCTCTACCCTGCTCATTTCTAACTGTGTGCAGCTACCTGACTCAAAGCTTCCAGTTTCCTCTGCCTTCTGCTCATCCAGCTTCTCCCTGAGAAAGAAGTTATATTTACATAATTTCAAACATATATTTACTTTGTATCTCCTCTAGAACTATTTAAGTGCTTTAATTACATTACCTCATTTAATCCTTAGAATAATTCCACCAATCCCTTTGTAAGAGATAAGAAACTGAGCCAAATACTTACTCAAGAATACATAGTCATAGAATCATAATTTAGACCCAGAAAGGTGTCCAAGTTTCTCCCCTACACAAATATACCTCCCTAGAGGGAACCTTGTTTCCTTCAAAGAAATCTTCACCAATATCTAATTTGGTTTTTAGGTCCACCCATGGCACCCATAAGTAAGTATAACATCTCTTTTTCTTCTTTGGTTCTCTATGGTCCCCTTCATTTCACTTCTGTCAAAGTGATTTGAGTTTCCCATTCTTCTCTTGCTTCCTTATTACCCTGCTTGCCCTATAATTTTTTTAAAATACTAATTAAAAGCGGGACTAAGCTAGCATTCATCAACAATAAACTGAACAATACTATGAAATATTATTTCATAGTAGGAGGAATTTTCAGGGGGGTGGAGAGAGAAAGAGAGAGAGAGATGAAATCCAAAATGATGTCTAAATGGAGAGAAACCTTCAGTGTTCTTTCAAACATTATAGTGCAAGGATCCAGTGGTCTTTTCCCAACACTATGCCCAAAGCTGTTCAGGTCCAATAAGTGGAGAGGGCCTTTAAGGAAACTCTACCTTTGACTTCGTCATTACATCATCACTGCTAAATCTTACATCTAGTTTTGCATTATAAAACTAATCTAAAACCAAATAATCTATAGGGTGGTTTGGAATACCTCCTTCACTGCCCACCCAAGTCCTCCCCTCACAGACTCCAGCAAAATATATTAGATAATACTATGTGTTTTCTATTTGAGAAAAATTAAATGGATTTCTGTTTGCTTATTTTTCAGTAATTTCACAGAGAACCGCAAGTAAGTACTCTACTTCTCAGCTGGTCATATGTGGGGACTTTTCTTATCTTAGTTGTTTCTATTTCTAAGTGCCTCATATTTCTCATATTCATTTGCTTCTACATTACCCAAAGTCTTCAAGATTAGGACTGCAAGTCAACCTTTTTGATTCGTAACTGTAGTATTTCCCATTATTTTAGTTCTAAACTCAGCTTCCAAGGTAACACATACCAACAGTGACTCAATATTTAAACCAGGTCAAGCACTAACAATGATGATATTTAATATAGAATTCGTGAAACCGCCTTTCACACTATGTCCTACCTTTCCAAAATGCAAATTTGGTTCTCATATCTCAGTTACAAATGATTTAAGCAAACCTAACATCGCTGGGATTCCTCAGCCTGAAATTAAATCACACTAATATTAAAAACCAAAGTTCCTGTCAAGGTTAAAAATGCAGATGCCAAAAGAGCCCAGGCAGGTCAGTAAATGAGTGAGATGAGGTGAATCTCCTGGAAACTGTGTAAAACTGGGAGGACACATATAGTCTGAAGAGGGTAGCTGCTGCCTGCTCCAGCCAACCTCTTCATGCAAGAATTCAGATTCAGAGTTGCCAAAGCATCTCACTTAATCCAGATAGTAGGTAAAATTTTCCAAGTTTTAAACATGACAGACATCTGGGTTACTCTAACAGATTGCAAACATACTTACATACTCCCCTCTAGTTCCATCTAAACACACTCTGGATACAGTTTTCATAATAACATTTTACTCATTTCAATAATGTTAGGACAAAGGCATTGGTATTTGAGAGAGGAGAATTGGAGCTATTAACACAGAATTAGCCAGTGTCTCTCCAAAGTCCTCATCCACACATCTTTCTGAAGCCTGAGCAAAGAGGCTGATCGGCTAAGTATTCTCACGGCACAGATAAAAATACAGAGACAATGGTTCCGACCCAGGGATGAGGCTGCAAAATCCATATGCCCATGTTTGGGAATAGGCCCTATAATTGGGCACAGGGACCAATGCCCACCTGAAGTCAGGAGAAGGGATTACTGGTCTCACAGCTAGAAATTACAAGCCAAAATCCAAATTGAAGGCATAGTGTCCTTTTCAGAGAAGTCATCAGAGAGTATGGGCAGGAAAAAGATGTAAAAATCCAAGACCCAATAGATATATAGGGTCTTGGATCCTATATATCATCCTAGTAGAGGGGATGAAAAAAAGCACGCAAAAGTAACTAGGGATTATACCACCTGCTTTTTGGATAGCTAAGTGTTGGCTGGCCAATCCCATTACTGGGTATAGACTCAAAGGAATATAAACCATTCTATCATAAAGACACTTGCACAGTTATGTTAAACACAGAACTATTCACAATAGCAAATACATGGAATCAACCTAAATGCCCATCAATGGTAGACTGAATAAAGAAAATGTGATACATATACACCATGGAATACTACGCAGCCGAAAAAAGAATGAGATCATGTCCTTTGCTGGAACACGGATGGATCTAGAGGCCATTACCCCTAGCAAACTAATGCAGGAACAGAAAACCAGATACCACATGTTCTTATTTATAAACGGGAGCTAAATGATGAGAACACATGGACACACAGAGGGGAAAAATAGACACTGGGGCCTGTCAGAGGGTGGAGGGTGGGAGCGGGAGAGGATCAGGAAAAATAACTAGATTTAATATCTGGGTAGCAAAATAATCTGTACAACAAACCCCCATGACACAAGTTTACCTATATAACAACCTTGCACATGTGTCCCTGAATTTAAAATAAAAGTTTAAAAAGTGTTACCGGGCAATATCTATAAATGAAAAATATACAGCCAAGCTTAAGCATAAAAAAGGTGGGTAAGATTTCCAAGGAGCAGAAATTGAATATAGGAACACATTGCAAGAAGAAGCTAAAGTTAAGCTCTTGGTGGGAACAGTGAGGGGATGAAAAAATAGAGATGACAGCTTTGCCTCAGGAACAAAGGTAGGGTTTCAACATCTGCTCCCAAATGACAGCAAAAGCCTCAAGATACAACATGCGGAAAACTGAAATTAGGCCCCTCTGAGTAAAGCCGGTAGCAGAAAATATACTGCCTCCCCATGCACAGAAGCCAAAATATCTTCACCCATCTGCCCCAGGCATGAAAACAGAGCCACCCACACAGGTCCAGAGTTAGATCTGTCCAGGGTGCAGAGCCCTGCTGGAGGTGTGCTACCCATGCAGTGTGCATAATATTCCAAGTCAAAACAGCTGAGATCTGGTTAAGTGGCAGTGTACCCAGGAAGTTAGGACAATAGCCACCAAGAAGAGAGCCACAACCCAGGGTATTTATATCATAGAATATCCATGAAAGATAGCCCCCAAGGAATAAGAAACTACTAAAAGTTATGAAATCTATGAGAAAATCCAGCACCATGTGAGTGGTGAGTGATACCTCACAAGCCCCAACAAATTGGAGAATTCCAACCCAGAGAAATATAACTAGAGCAATCTGAAGAAGACTAAAATAAGGAACCTAACAGCACTGAACAAGTCAAACACTAAAGGAAAAAAAAGAAAAAGTCTTCAAAGATATTAATGCATTTTAAAAATATATGTATTCAACAAATATATATTGGCCTATTGTAGGCCAGGCATTATCCTAAGCACTGAAAATATAGCCATGAGCAAGACAAAGTCCTTGCACTTAAGGAGTTTATATGTTGAGATAAAACAGGCAAATAATGCCAAGTAAACATATACTAAATGTCAGGCAGATAAATTCATGCAGAAAAATAAGAAGAGTAACAGACTAAAGAAAGATGGTATAGAAGGGGGAGTGTGCTTCAGGCAAAAGGAACAAGTACAACATGCACAGGCCTGCTATGGAGGTGCAAAACAGCCAGCCAGGCTAGAAAGAAGGAGGCAGAGCAGGAGGTAGGGCCAGAGCGACAAAAGCCAGATTATGTCGGGCCCTGCAGTCCTTAATAAAAAATTGCAGATTTCATTCTAGGTGTCATGAGAGGCAACTGAAGGGCTTGAACAGGGAAATGATAGGGCCCACTTTATAATTTTAAAAGATCACTCTATTATTGTGGAGGATTAACTGGGGTGAGAGTGAGGGCTCAAGAGGGCAAGTAGGAAGACCAGTTAAGAGGCCTGAAATTAAGGTGAGTGTGGCAAGGAGAGAGTGATCAGAGTGGAAGTGGGAAGAAGGTCTTCAGATTTTATTTATTTTGGGGGCAAAGCCAACAGGGCCTGCTGTTCGACTGAATGTGATTTTAAGGGAAAAAGAAGACCCCAAGGGTTACTCCTAGATTTGGGGTCTAAGAAACTTGACGAATGAGACTATTTATTCATTTAGGTAGCGGAGAAGAGCAGATTTATAGGATGCTATTGTGAGTTCAGTTTTGCATATGTTAGGTTCTAGATGCCTGGGATATTTAGGACTAATTAATTAAATAATCTGACCTTAGCAGGCTTCAAGCATGTTTTCTGGAAAATATCTCCTCTCTGTCCCTTAATGATGCATTAGAACCCATAATTTTATCTTTTTTATCTTTGTAAATAACAGCTTTATTGAGATGATATTCACATATGACATAATTCACTCATTTAAAGTGTGGAATTTAATGCTTTTTAGTATATTCACTGGGTTGTGCAACCATCACCACAATGAATTTTAGAACATTCTCATCACCCCCCAGAAAAACTCTGTTTAGCAATCACTTCCCACTATCCCCCAACCCAAAACCCTCTCCACACCATAGCCCCAGGCAACCACTAATCTTCTTTCTGTCTCTATAGATTCAGCTGTTCTGGACATTTCATATAAATGGAATCAAACAATAGGAGGTCTTTTGTGCCTGGCTTCTTCCATTTAGCATAAGGTTCACCAGGTTCATCCACATGGTAATATGCAGCAGTACTTCAGTTCTTTTTATGGCCAAATAATATTTCATTATGTCTTTGGTTGGCTTTTTTTAGCTTTCCTTTATTTACTTGTAAGGAAATATTATGATAAGTAGTATCAACTTGCTTTCTTTATTTTTATTTAAGTTTTAAGTTCAGGGATACATGTGCAGTTTGTTATATAGGTAAACTTGTGTCATGCAGGTTTGTTGTACAGATTATTTCATCACCCAGGTATTAAGCCTAGAACCCCTTAGTTATTTTTCCTGTCTGTCTACGTCCTCTCACCCTCCACCCTTCAATAAGCCCCAGTGCCTGTTGTTTCCTTCTGTGTCCATGTGTTCTCATCATTTATCTCCCATTTGTAAGTGAGAACATGTGGTATTTGGTTCTCTCTTCCTGCATTAGTTTGCTAAGGATAACGCCCTCCAGCTCCATCCATGTTCCTGCAAAGGACATGATCTTGTTCCTTTTTATGGCTGCATGGTATTACATGGTGTATATGTACATTTTATTTATCCAGTCTATCGTTGACGGGCATTTAGGTTGATTCCATGTCATTGTTACTGTGAATAGTGCTGCAATAAACACACGTGTGTTTCTTTATGATAGAACAATTTTTATTACTTTGGGCATATAGCCAGAAATGGGATTGCTGGGTCGAATGGTAGCTCCGTTTTGGGGTCTTTGAGGAATTGCCACACTGTTTCCCACAATGGTTGAACTAATTTACGTTGCCACCAACAAGGTAAAACTGTTCCTTTTTCTCCACAGCCTCCCCAGTATCTGTTATTTTCTGACATTTTGATAATGGCCATTCTGCCTGGTGCGAGATGGTATCTCATTGTGGTTTTGACTTGCATTTCTCTAACAATCAGTGATGTTGAGCTTTTCTTCATATGTTTGTGAGCTGCATGTACGTCTTCTTTTGAAAAGTGCCTATTCCCTTTTTTTGCCAACTTTTTAATGGGATTGTTTTTGTCTTGTAAATTTGTTTAAGTTCCTTACAGGCGCTGGATATTAGACCTTTGCCAGATGCATAGTTTGCAAAAACTTTCTCCCATTCTGTAGGTTGCCTATTTACTCTGTTGACAGTTTCTTTTGCTGGGCAGAAGCTCTTTAGTTCAATTAGATCCCATCTGTCAATTTTTGCTTTTGTTACAGTTGCTTTTGTTGTCTTCATCATGAAATTTTTGCCCATTCCTATGTCCAGAATGGTATTGCCTAGGTGGTCTTCCAGGGTTTTTATAGCTTTGGGTTTTACACTTAAATCTTTAAACCATCTTGAGTTAATTTTCGTATGTGGTGTAAGGAAGGAGTCCAGCTTCAATCTTCTGCATATGGCTGGCCAGTTATCCCAGTATCGTTTATTGAATAGGAAGCCCTTTCCCCATTGCTTGTTTTTCTCAGCTTTGTTAAAGTTCAGATAGTTGTAGTCATGTGGCCTTATTTCTGGGCTCTGTATTCTGTTGCATTGATCTATGTGTCTATTTCCTACTAGTGCCATACTGTTTTGCTTACTGTAGCCTGGTAGCATACCATAATTTTCTAATCATGTTAAATTATTAAAAACACTCAGGCCAACCCCTCTTAAAACCCTCTCCTCTCCTAGTGGCCAGTCTCAGGCACACTGACTCAGAATAGGGAGGAGAAATTTTTTTGTATTTTTAGAACATCACAGTGTTCGCCAGGATGGTCTTGATCTCCTGACCTCGTGATCCGCCTGCCTCGACCTCCCAAAGTGCTGGGATTACAGGTGTGAGCCAAGGCGCCTGGCCTACCCTACTCATTTCTAACTCTGTGTGCAGCTACCTGACTCAAAGCTCCCAGTTTCCTCTGCCCTCTGCTAATCTAGCTTCTCCCTGAGAAGGAAGCTTACATTTACATGATTTCAAACACATATGTACTTTGCACCTCCTATAGAATTATATAGGTGCTTTAATTACATAATCCCATTTAATCCTTAGAATCACTCCACTAACCCCTTTGTAAGAGATAAGAAACTGACCCAAATACTTACCCAAGAATGCAGTCATAAAGAATTGGAGCTTTTAACAGAGAATTAGCCATTGTCATCCAGAGCTGTGTGACTACCAAGATTCTCCCCAACACAAATATCTCTCCCTAGAAGGAAACTTGCTCCTTTCAAACAAATCTTCACTGATATCTAATTTTTTTAGGTCAGCTGGCAGCACCTATAAGTAAGTATTACATGTCTTTTTCTACTTTGGTTCTCTTTGGTCCCCTTCACTTCACTTCTGTCAAAGTGATTTGTGGTTCCCATTATTCCCTTGCTTCCTTATTACCCTACATGGTCTATATTACAGAGAATCTTTTTAAACACTAATTAAAAGAGGGACTAAGCTAGGATTCATCAGTAATAAACTGAACAATATTATGAAATAACACGTAAGCAGAATTATTGAGAGATGAAATCCATAATGATGTTTAAATGGAGAGAGGCTTTCAGTGTTCTCTCAAACATTATAATGCTATTCAAAGGAAACAGAAAGATATGGCAGTCTCTACCCGAGACTATACCCAAAGCTGTTGGGTCCAGTAAATGAAGAGGGCCTTTAAGGAAACCCTACCTTTGATTTCATCACATCATCACTGCCTAATCTTATATCTAGTTTTGCATTGTAAAACTAATCTAAAACTAATCTATAGGGTGGTTTGGAATGCTTCCTTCTTTGCCCACACAAGTCCTCCCCTCACAGACTCCAACAAAATATGTTAGATAATGCTATGTTTTCTCCATTTGAGAAAAATTAAATGGATTTCTTTTTGCTTATTTTTTAGTAATTTCGCAGAGAACTGCAAGTAAGTTCTTTATTTCTCAGCTGGTCATATGTGGAGATTTATGTTAGATGTTTCCACTTCTAAGTATCCAAAAGATTGAGACTCATATTTCTCATATTCATTTGCTTCTACATTACCCAAAGTCCTCCAGATTAGGACTGCAAGACAAACTTTTTGATTCATAACTGTAATATTTCCCATTATTTAGGTTTTTTTGTTTTGTTTTGTTTTGAGACAGAGTCTCACTCTGTCACACAGGCTGGAGTGCAGTGGCGTGATCTAGGCTCACTGCAACCTCCACCTGCCGAGTCCAAGCAATTCTCCTGCCTGAGCCTCCCAAGTGGCTAGCAATACAGGTGCAAGCCACCATGCCCAGCTAATTATTGTATTTTTAGTAGAGACAGGGTTTCCTCATTTGGCCAGGCTGTTCTTGAACTCCTGACCTCAAGTGATCCGCCCGCGTTGGCCTCCCAAAGTGCTGGGTTTACAGGTGTGAACCACCACGCCCAGCCCCATTATTTTAGTTCTAAACCCAACTTCCAAGGTAACACATACCAACAGTGACTCAATTTTTAAACCAGATCAAGCGTTGACCATGATGATATTTAATATAGAATTCGTGAAAGCACCTTTCACACTGTGTCCTAGTTTTCCAAAATGCAAATCTGGTTCTCATATCTCAGTTACAAATGATTTAAGCAAACCCAATATCAGCTGAGATTCCTCATCCTGAAATTAAATCACATTAATATTAAAACCCAAAGTTCCTGTCAAGGTTAAAAACGCAGATGCCAAAAGAGCCCAGGCAGGTCAGTAAATGAGCGAGTTGAGGTGAGTCTCCTGGGAACTGTGTTAAACTGGGAGGACACGCATAGTCTGAAGAAGGTAGCTGCTGCCCAGCTCCAGCCAACCTCTTCATGCAAGAAGCATCTCACTTAATCCAGATAGTAGGTAAAATTTTCCAATTTTTAAACATGAAAGACATCTATGTTATTCTAACAGATTTCAAATATGCTTATATATCCTCCTCCAGTTCCTTCTAAACACACTCTGGATATAGTTTTCATAATAACAACATTTTATTAATTTCAATAATGTTAGGACAAAGACATTGGTATTTGAGTGAAGAGAAATGGAACTGTCAACAAAGAATTATAAGTGAGTGTCTCTCCAAAATCCCTATCCACATACCTTTCTGAAGCCTGAGCAAAGAGGCTGATCAGCTAAGTATTCTCACTGCACAGATGAAAATACATACTCAGTGGTTGAGACCCAGAAATGAAGCTGGAAATTCCAGATGTCTATGTTTGCACATGGGCCATATAATTGGGAACAGAGACCAAGGCCCACCAAAGTTCAGGAGAAGGGATTATTGGTCTCACAGCTAGAAATTACAAGGCAGAACCCAAATTGAATGCATAGTGTCCTTTTCAGAGGAGTCATCAAAGAGGATGGGCAGGGAAATAATGTAAAAATCCAATACCCGAGGGGTAGGGAGAAAGAAAAAAGGAATGCTAAAGTAACTAGGGTTTATAACACCTCATTTTTGGCTGGCTAAGTCTTGGCTGGAAATATTTTTAAATGAAAAATGCACAGTCATACCTAAGCATAAAGAAGGAGGGTAAGAGTGATTTCCAAGGAGCAGAAATGGAATATAGGAACACATATAAAGAAAGGAAAGCTAAAGTTAAGCTCTTGGGAGGAATGGTGAGGGGATGAGGAAACAGAGGTAGCAGCTTTGCCTCAGGAACAAAGGTAGGGTTTCAACACCTGATCCTAGATGGTGGACAAAGCCTCAAGATACAACATGTAGAAAACTGGAATTCCACCACTTGGAGTAAAGCCAGGAGCAGAAAACACGCTGCCTCCCCACGCGGAGAAGCCAAAATATCTTCACCCATCTGCCCCAGGCATGAAAACAAAGCCATCCACACAGGTCCAGAGTTAGATCTGTCCAGGGTGCAGAGCCCTGCTGGAGGTGTGCTACCCATGCAGTGTGCATAATATTCCAAGTTAAAACAGCTGAGATCTGGTTCAGTGGCAGTGTACCCAGGAAGTTAGGACAATAGCCACCAAGAAGGGATCCACAACCCAGGGTATTTATATCATAGAATATCCATGAAAGATAGCCCCCAAGGAATAAGAAACTACTAAAAGTTATGAAATCTATGAGAAAATCCAGCACCATATGAGTGATACCTCACAAGTCCCAACAAATTGGAGAATTCCAACCCAGAGAAATATAACTAGAGCAATCTGAAGAAGACTAAAATAAGAAACCTAACAGCATTGAACAAGTCAAACACTAAAGGAAAAAAAAGAAAAAGTCTTCAAAGATATTAATGCATTTTAAAAATATATGTATTCAACAAATATATATTGGCCTATTGTAGGCCAGGCATTATCCTAAGCACTGGAAATATAGCCATGAGCAAGACAAAGTCCTTGCACTTAAGGAGTTTATATGTTGAGATAAAACAGGCAAATAATGCCAAGTAAACATACAGTAAATGTCAGGCAGATAAATTCATGTAGAAAAATAAGAAGAGTAACAGACTAAAGAAAGATGGTATAGAAGGGGGAGTGTGCTTCAGGCAAAAGGAACAAGTACAACATGCACAGGCCTGCTATGGAGGTGCAAAACAGCCAGCCAGGCTAGAAAGAAGGAGGCAGAGCAGGAGGTAGGGCCAGAGCGACAAAAGCCAGATTATGTCGGGCCCTGCAGTCCTTAATAAAAAATTGCAGATTTCATTCTAGGCATCATGAGAAGTAACTGAAGGGCTTGAACAGGGAAATGATAGGGTCTACTTTATAATTTTAAAAGATCACTCTATTATTGTGGAGGATTAACTGGAGTGAGAGTGAGGGCTCAAGAGGGCAAGTAGGAAGACCAGTTAAGAGGCCTGAAACTAAAGGTGAGTGTGGCAATGAGAAGAGTGATCAGAGTGGAAGTGGGAAGAAGGTCTTCAGATTTTATTTATTTTGGGGGCAAAGCCAACAGGGCCTGCTGTTCGACTGAATGTGATTTTAAGGGAAAAAGAAGACACCAAGGGTTACTCCTAGATTTGGGGTCTAAGAAACTTGACGAATGAAACTATTTATTGATTTAGGTAGTGGAGAAGAGCAGATTTATAGGATGCTATTGTGAGTTCAGTTTTGTGTATGCTTGGTTCTAGATGCCTGGAACATTTAGGACTAATTAATTAAATAATCTGACCTTAGCAAGCTTCAAGCATGTTCTCTGCCATGTGTCTCCTTCCTATCATTTAATGATGTCTTAGAACCCATAATTTTCTAGTTATGCTAAATTATTTAAAATGCTTAAGCCATCCCCTTTAAAACCCTCTCCTCTCCTAATGGCCCGTCTCAGGCACACTGACTCAGAATGGGGAGGAGAAATACAATGTGCTTCCCCTTCCTGTCCACTCTCCTTGTTGCTATAATTCCCACCGTTGTTATAATTCCCACTGTTGAGGCTGAGAGGATGGATTTGGGGCATGCAATCTCCTTCCTCTGTTAGTTGTAGGTTCTTTTCTCTGAGAACCTGAGACTGACTGTCCTTTGATGTCATCTAGAGCAGACACCCAAATGTCTTGTACAATACATATTCCAGTTCTTTGGAGGAACATACAAGAACTCGACCATGCCTAGTCCCTGATGTGGGAGTACTGACTCTAGTCTTGCCAATTCCAGAGCCCCTCAACTCCCTCTCGAGCAATACACTTCATTGCTCGTACTGCAGAGATGCCCTTACCAAGTAGGCCACCCACTTGAGTGACATACTAGCAAGAAGGCTCAAGCCAGGATGTATTTTGCACTGCCCACTGAACCCTCAGGAGGCTCAAGAATCCTTATCACAGAACAAGGACACTCTGCACTACTGTCTCTCTCCAATTTTATTTTCCTTCATTCAGATAGGCACAAAACAAATCAACAAATCCACTATTCAACCAGGAGATGGGTTGCCACACATCCTTTCTCACAGATACCCCCAATCACTGTAAGCAAATCTCAAAGTGCTACTCATTTGCCTTCAGAAAAAGAAAGCGCTATTCTTCCTCCCCTACAACACCATTCCTTTGTTAACTACTCACAACTCTAAAGACTCTTAAATCTCCTGCCCTTTACAGTTGTTTGCTTATGTTGTCTTGGAAAAAGGGTGACACTTGAGATAGGAGAGCTAATTTGGCC
>NT_167244.2:3465530-3541150 GCF_000001405.40 Homo sapiens | reverse complement strand
GGCCAGGATGGTCTCGAACTCCTGACCTCAAATGATCTTCCCGCCTCAACCTCTGAAAGTGCTGGGATTACAGGCATGGGCCACCACACTTGGCCCTTGTGTTTTCAATAATAGCCACTTTAACTGGTGTGAGATGATATCTCATTGTGGTTTTGATTTACATTTCCCTGATTTGCATCCATATACCTGTTGGCCATTTGTATGTCTTCTTTTGAGAAATGTCTGTTCAGATAATTTGCTCATTTTTTAAACCACATTATTTGTCGGTGGTGGTAGTGGTGGTGTTTGCTGTTGAGTTCCTTATACGTTCTGATTATTAATCCCTTGTCAGACAGTTTGCAAATATTTTCTTCTATTCTGTAGGTTGCCTCTTCACTCCATTAATTGTTTCCTTTGCTGCACAGACACTTTTTAGCTTGATGTAATCACATTTGTCTGTTGTTGCCTTTGTTGCCTGGCTGTTGAGGTCTTACCCAAAAAACTTTTGCCCAGACCAATGTCTTGAAGCATTTCCCAAATGATTTTTTTTTTTTTTTTTGAGAAGGAGTCTTGCACCGTCGCCTGGGCTGGAGTGCAGTGGCGCAAATTTGACTCACTGCAACCTTTGCCTCCTGGGTTCAAGCGATTCTCCTGCCTTAGCCTCCCAAATAGCTGGAATTTACAGGTGCCCACCACCACGCCCAGCTATTTTTTTGTATTTTTAGTAGAGACGGGGTTTCACCATGTTGGCCAGGCTGGTCTCAAACTCCTGACCTTGTGTTTGAGGATTACAGGTGTGACCCACCGTGCCCGGCTGAATTTTTTTTTTAGTGGCTTCAAGTTTCCAGCTGTACATGTAAGGCTTTAATCTATTTTGTATATGATGACAGATAGAGATTTAGTTTCTTTTTTTCTTTTTTTTTGGGGGGGGGATAGAGTCTTGCTCTGTTGCCCTGTTGCCCAGTCTGGAGTGCAGTGGTATGATCTCAGCTCACTGCAACCTCCACCTCCCAAGTTCAACTGATTCTCCTGCCTCAGCCTCCTGAGTAGCTGGAACTACAGGTGCACACCACTACGCCCGGCTAATTTTTGTAATTTTAGTAGAGATGGGGTTTCACCATATTGGTCAGGCTGGTTTCAAACTCCTGACCTCAGGTGATCCACCCACCTCCGCCTCCCAAAGTGCTGGGATTACAGGCGTGAGCCACCCCGCCCGGCCTAGGTTTAGTTTCTTCTGCATATGGATATCCAGTTTTCCCAGCACAATTTATTGAAGAGAGTGTCCTTTCCCCAGTGTGTGTACTTGGTGCCTTTGTTGAAAGTAAGTTGGCTGGCCGGGAGTGGTGGCTCATGCCTGTAATCCCAGCATTTTGGGAGACCGAGGCGGGCAGATCACAAGGTCAGGAGTTCGAGACCAGCCTGACCAACATAGTGAAACCCCCGTCTCTACTAAAAATACAAAAATTAGCCAGGCATGGTGGTGCGCACCTGTAATCCCAGCTACTCAGGAGGCTGAGGCAGGAGAATCGCTTGAACCCAGGAGGTGGAGGTTGCAGTGAGCCAGATCGTGCCATTGCACTCCAGCCTGGCAACAGAGCAAGACTCCATCTCAAAAAAAAAAAAAGGAAAGAAAAGAAAAAAGAAAGTAAGTTGGCTGTTAAATGTTTGGACTTGTTTTTCTGGGCTCTCTATTACATTCCATTGGTCTATGTGTCTGTTTTTTATGCCAGCACCATGCTGTTTTGGTTACTATAGCTTTATAGTATATTTTTAAGTTAGGTAGTGTGGTACCTCTAGCTTTGTTCTTTTTGCTCAGGACTGCTTTGGCTATTTGGGTCTTTTACAGTTCAGATAAATTTTAGGGTTGTTTTTTCTATTTCTGTAAAGAATATTATTGGTATTTTCATAGGGGTTGCATGACTCTGTAGATCACTTTGGTAAGCACAGACATTTTAGCAGTATTCATTCTTCCAATCCATGAACACAGGATATCTTTCCATTTTTTTGTGTCCTCTTCAATTTATTTCATCAATGTTTTATAGCTGTCATTGCAGTACTCTTTCACTTCTTTGGTTAAATTTATTCATTTGTTTTTATTTTTTGTAACTATTATAAATGGGATTGCTTTCTTGATTTCTTTTTCTGATTGTTTGCTGTTAGCGTATAGAAATGCTACTACTTTTTCTACATTGATTTTGTATCCTACAGCTTTACTGAATTTGTTTATAACCAGTGTTTTCTTTAGGTTTTTCTAAATATAGGATTATGTCATCTGTGAACATGGATAATTTGAGTTCTTCTTTTGCAATTTGGATGCCCTTTATTTCTTTCTGCTGCCTAATTGCTCTGGCCAGGACTTCCAGTATTACCTTGAATAAAAATAGTGAAAGTGAGCATCCTTGTCTTGTTCCAGATCTTAGAGGAAAGGCTTTCAACTTTTCCCCATTCAGTATGATGTTAGCTGTGGGTTTGTCATATATGGCTTTTATTATTTTGAGATATAGAACCACAGCTTTTTTTTTTTGAGACAGAGTCTTGCTCTGTCACTCAGGCTGGAATGTAGTGGTGCAATCTCAGCTCACTGCAACCTCTACCTCCCGGGCTCAAGCAATTCACCTGCCTCAGCCTCCCCAGTAGCTGGGATTACAGGTGCCTGCCACCACACCTAGCTAATTTTGTGTATGTGTGTATTTTTAGTAGAGATGGGGTTTCACCATGTTGGCCAGGCTGGTCTCAAAATCCTGACCTCAAGTGATCCACCCGCCTTGACCTCCCAAACTGCTGGGATTACAGGCGTGAGCCACCGTGCCCGGCCAGAACCACAACTTTTGATAGAAGGCTCAAGACAGATACCCTAACCTACCCTCTTTTTTCACTTTTTTATTTTATTTTTTAACCTTTTATTATGAACATTTTCAAACATAAACAAAAGCAGTATACTGATCAGTAGTAAACCTCTGGGCACCCATTACTCAGCTTTACTTATTCTTTTTTTTTTTTTTTTTTTTTTTTTTGAGACAGCATCTCACTCTGTTGCCCCGGCTAGAGTACAGTGGCGCGATCTCGGTTCACTGCAACCTCTGCCTCCCGGGTTCAAGCGGTTCTCCTGCCTCAGCCTCCTGAGTAGCTGGGACTACAGGGACATGCCACCATGCCCGGCTAATTTTTGTATTTATAGTAGAGATGGAGTTTCACCATATTGGCCAGGCTGGTCTCGAACTCCTGACCTCGTGATCTGCCCACCTCAGCCTACCAAAGTGCTGGGATTACAGGCGTGAGCCACCGCACCCGGCTATTTACTTCTTCTTTTATGAAGCTCCCTCCTCCAAAACACCCCCATCACCTGTTCCTTCCAGCTCTCTGACCACTCCTTGGATTCTCTGTGAATTCCCTTTTCTCTCTTTGAAGCCTGCCTTCCTGGTACTGTACTCTTGCACACTCTCTTTCCTCTTGCAAGAAGCCAGCACGTGGTACAGATCTTGCCAATGACCCTTCTCTCACTAGCTGAGTGGCATGAAGAAGCAGAAAATGGTTAAGAGCATTGGTTTGGAGTCACAGACCTTCATTGATTCCCAGCTCTGCCACCTATAGCTATTTGACTTGCACAAGTCACTAACCTTTCAGAGACTCAGCTTCCTTACGTGCAAAGTAAAAATCGAATGAGATAACCCAAATAAAATGTCATTAGGGGGATTTTTAGGTTATGTATATAAATCATGCAATAAATGCTAGTCATTTCTTTCCTCTGGTTGACTGAGAGCTTCCAGGAAATAGGAATGGGTTCTAACTTTCTTTGTATTCCTAGTGCCTAAAACGGTGCCTGACACAAAGTAGGCACTCAATAGATGCTTATGAATTAATAAAGTATGAGAGAGCCTGGTAGGTATTTAGCAGGGGAGGAAGGTTTTACCAAAAATGGTGCTGTGTTTGGTGGCAGTGTGTCATAGAGATTGTTTGGGACTGGGGAAGTTTGAGTTGTGTGTCGCCAACAATTGTGTCTCATGGGGAGTTGAGATAGAAGGATTGTGACACATGGCCATGATGGATGGTGAGTTGAGTGATGCTGTTGAGCTGGAAGGTGGGGGACTGGACAGACTATCTTGAGCTGGGTCCCTTGTAGTGCTGGGTTGGGCTCATCCACTGGTTCCCTGTCTAATCCTCTTTGTCTGCAGTGTGCCCCAGGCTACGATGGACAGAACTGCTCAAAGGAACTCGATGCTTGTCAGTCCCAACCCTGTCACAACCATGGAACCTGTACTCCCAAACCTGGAGGCTTCCACTGTGCCTGCCCTCCAGGCTTTGTGGGGCTACGCTGTGAGGGAGACGTGGACGAGTGTCTGGACCAGCCCTGCCACCCCACAGGCACTGCAGCCTGCCACTCTCTGGCCAATGCCTTCTACTGCCAGTGTCTGCCTGGACACACAGGTGAGGCCCCAAGACAAGGGGCACAAGTGTGTCTGGAGCACAGCCAAGCAGACCATGGAGAGCCAGATAGTCTCCACCCATGCGGCAGCCGTCACCTGGTCCATCCCCTGCCTCCACGCCCACCCCCGCCCAGAAAAGATGCCCCAGGATCCCTTCACCTGCACATCTAGCACTGGGCCAACATCCAGGAATGAGCTAGGATGGAGGCAGTGACTGATGCAGTGTGTGACGTCTAATCTCCCCCATAATTACAGGCCAGTGGTGTGAGGTGGAGATAGACCCCTGCCACAGCCAACCCTGCTTTCATGGAGGGACCTGTGAGGCCACAGCAGGATCACCCCTGGGTTTCATCTGCCACTGCCCCAAGGCAAGTGACCACAAATCTGCCTTCTCTGTTGCCCCCTATGCTGACAAGGCAAGAATACCTCAGTTGGAATCCCAGAAGGGACTGTGGGTGAGCACTGATGTGGAAATTATTGGAAAAAGCCATGCCAAGCTCACAGTGGGAAGTGTCTCTCAGAAGCAGTCAAAGGCAAGGCAGGATCAGTTGATAGCATGAATGGAATTTTCAAAAATCACAGGCGTTGCCTAAGGGAAGGTCAGGAGCTCCCCAAGCTCAAGCTGCGTGGTGGGTGGCCTCAGATAGGTTATTTTAACTCTGTGTGTGTTTGTATATGTATTTATGGACCTCAGATGCATGGAATTAGACTAATCTTAAGCTTTGGTTCCTGATACACTGACATTGGTTTATGCCTGGTCTTCTTTTATTTTATTATTCTAACAATGTAACACCCATGAACCTAACCCAAGAATTTCAATATTAATAATAACTTACATCTACTTAAGTCCTCCTCCTGTATCCTGTTCCCTCTCCAGAGGAAGAGGAAGACATATGATCCTATTTCTAAGGAGTAAGATAATAATATAACAGCCTGCCGGGCACAGTGGCTCACGCCTGTAATCCCAGCACTTTGGGAGGCCGAGGCAGGCGGATCACCTGAGGTCGGGCATTCGAGACCAGCCTGACAAACATGGAGAAACCCTGTCTCTACTAAAAATACAAATTAGCTGGGCGTGGTGGTGCATGGCTGTAATCCCAGCTATTGGGAAGGCTGAGGCAGGAGAATTGCTTGAACCCGGGAGGCAGAGGTTGCAATGAGCTGAGATTGCACCATTGCACTCCAGCCTGGACAACAAGAGCGAAACTCTGTCTCAAAAATAATAATAATAATAATATAATAGCATTCTATTAACTGTTTAGTCTTCTAGGACTTGCACTGTAATGCCACAGTCCATCAGGTTGTTGCACACAGCTGTGCTTCATCCATTTTCAACAGAATGTAATATGTCATTGTGTGAAATTACCACAGGACATGGTTTCAACATCCACAAAATGATTAACTTGATGCTCTCTGAGGCGCCTTTTAGATATGAGAATCTAGGACCCTTGCACCGTCTTAACCCAAGAGTTTGCTTGATAGAGAGCGGGAAGAATAATGCAAGTTGCATCTCCAATATCTCCCCTCCCCTCCACAGGGTTTTGAAGGCCCCACCTGCAGCCACAGGGCCCCTTCCTGCGGCTTCCATCACTGCCACCACGGAGGCCTGTGTCTGCCCTCCCCTAAGCCAGGCTTCCCACCACGCTGTGCCTGCCTCAGTGGCTATGGGGGTCCTGACTGCCTGACCCCACCAGCTCCTAAAGGCTGTGGCCCTCCCTCCCCATGCCTATACAATGGCAGCTGCTCAGAGACCACGGGCTTGGGGGGCCCAGGCTTTCGATGCTCCTGCCCTCACAGCTCTCCAGGGCCCCGGTGTCAGAAACCCGGAGCCAAGGGGTGTGAGGGCAGAAGTGGAGATGGGGCCTGCGATGCTGGCTGCAGTGGCCCGGGAGGAAACTGGGATGGAGGGGACTGCTCTCTGGGAGTCCCAGACCCCTGGAAGGGCTGCCCCTCCCACTCTCGGTGCTGGCTTCTCTTCCGGGACGGGCAGTGCCACCCACAGTGTGACTCTGAAGAGTGTCTGTTTGATGGCTACGACTGTGAGACCCCTCCAGCCTGCACGTGAGCCTGAAATCCACTGGAGCCAGGGAAGGAGAGGGGTGGGTGAGAGGAGGAGGAAGGACGTAGATGGCTCTGAGTTACAGTGTGGCCACAGCCTTGGGCTCCAGGGAGTTTCCACCCTAATAACCATCACTAAACAGGGGTCGAAGACTCTGGACTCCAACCTAGGGTAATGGGGTGGCATCAGTATTTAATGTGGGGCGTGGCCTTTGGGCTCCTCTCTAAGAGTTGTAGGAACTCAGGTCTCAAGCCTCCTTCCCTAAGCCTTGCTGCCATGGGGTATTTCCCCTAGCAGTCAGCACCTCACAGAGGGAAAAGGGCCTGGGACTCTCCTTTAGAAACAGAGGAGAGCTTGGGAGGGTACAGAGAGGGGACAGTCTAGGGAGACAGGGGTGTTAGCAGACATTGGGGTGTCTGGACTACCATCCAGGACTTGACTAAGCTCATTGCTCCACAGCTGCCCCCACTTAGCAACCAAAGCCCTAGAGGGCACAAAATATGGGGAATTCTTTCTAGGGTGAAGAAAAGAGTCAGGTTTTAGGGAGGTCCTGAGTCCCCCTCTCCTTACCCCACAGTCCAGCCTATGACCAGTACTGCCATGATCACTTCCACAACGGGCACTGTGAGAAAGGCTGCAACACTGCAGAGTGTGGCTGGGATGGAGGTGACTGCAGGCCTGAAGATGGGGACCCAGAGTGGGGGCCCTCCCTGGCCCTGCTGGTGGTACTGAGCCCCCCAGCCCTAGACCAGCAGCTGTTTGCCCTGGCCCGGGTGCTGTCCCTGACTCTGAGGGTAGGACTCTGGGTAAGGAAGGATCGTGATGGCAGGGACATGGTGTACCCCTATCCTGGGGCCCGGGCTGAAGAAAAGCTAGGAGGAACTCGGGACCCCACCTATCAGGAGAGAGCAGCCCCTCAAACGCAGCCCCTGGGCAAGGAGACCGACTCCCTCAGTGCTGGGTAAGAAGCTAGGTGGAGGGAAGGGCCAGACACCAGTTTTTTTAAGAGGGCAGAGGGAGGAAAGGGAGCCAGGGACCAATACAGAGGTCTCTGAGGTGCCTCCTCTACAGGTTTGTGGTGGTCATGGGTGTGGATTTGTCCCGCTGTGGCCCTGACCACCCGGCATCCCGCTGTCCCTGGGACCCTGGGCTTCTACTCCGCTTCCTTGCTGCGATGGCTGCAGTGGGAGCCCTGGAGCCCCTGCTGCCTGGACCACTGCTGGCTGTCCACCCTCATGCAGGGACCGGTAGGTGACCCCTTGCCACTTTCTCTGACCTCTGTTCCCAGGCCAGCTCTCATGCTAGCAACAGGCAATGGAGGCTGAATCAAACAGGACAGCTGAGACTGAAAATGTTCTTTGTGGGGACTTACTTTCCCTAACCCCGCTTTCTCTAACTGAATCTCCCACTGGCCCATTTGTTCTACAGTCTCCTTCCTTATTTCCCTAAGCACATTATCCTAACCTCTGTCATAGCCCTCCAACAAAGGGATGGTTTATCTTCTCTACCAGACTGAGAATACCTAATAGTCTTTGTATCAGACAATTCATAGTACATGAAAGAATAATAGGCTGGGCGCAGTGGCTCATGCCTATAATCCCAGCACGTTGGGAGACCAAGGCAGGTGGATCACGAGGTCAGGAGATTGAGACCATCCTGGCTAATGCGGTGAAACCCTGTCTCTACTAAAAATAAAAAAATTAGCCGGCTGTGGTGGCGGGTGCTTGTAGTCTCAGCTACTCAGGAGGCTGAGGCAGGAGAATGGCGTGAACCTGGGAGGTGGAGCTTGCAGTGAGCCGAGATCGCGCCACTGCACTCCAGCCTGGGCGACAGAGGGAGACTCCATCTCAAAAAAAAAAAAAAGAAAAATAACTGCTATATCGTACTTTGTGCCTTACTCTAAGCATTTTACATTGTTACCTCATTTAATCCTCCCCCACAACCCCATGAGGCACGTACTGCTGGTTGAGTATCCCTTATCTGAAATGCTTGGGAACAAAAGTGTTTCAGATTTCGGATTTATTTTGGAATATTTGCATTATACTTACTGGTTCAGCATCCCTAATACAACATCCAAATGCTACAATGAGCATTTCCTTTGAGCGTTATGTTGGTACTCTAAAAGTTTCAGACTTTGGAACATTTCAGATTTGGGATTGGGGTTATGGATACTCAGCCTTTTTTTGTGTGTTTGTTTTCTGAGACAGTCTTACTCTGTCAGCCACACTGGAGTACAGTGACGCCATCTCAGCTCACTGCAACCTCTGCCTCCTGGGTTTAAGCAATTCTCTTGCTTCAGACTACTGAGTAGCTGGAATTACAATGGCATGCCACCATGCCCTGATAATTTTTTTTGTTTTTGTTTTGTTTTGTTTTGTTTTGTTTGAGACAGAGTCTTGCCTTGTCGCCCAGGCCGGAGTGCAGTGGCGCGATCTCGGCTCACTGCAAGCTCCACCTCCCAAGTTCACGCCATTCTCCTGCCTCAGCCTCCCAAGTAGCTGGGACTACAGGTGCCCGCCACCACACCTGGCTAATTTTTTGTATTTTTAGTAGAGACAGGGTTTCACCATGTTAGCCAGGATGGTCTCGATCTCCTGACCTCATGATCCACCCGCCTCAGCCTCCCAAAGTGCTGAGATTATAGGAGTAAGCCACTACACCCAGCCACTAATTTTTATATTTTTAGTAGAGAGGGGGTTTTGCCATGTTGGCCAGGCTGGTCTCGAACTCCTGGCCTCATATGATCCACCTGCCTCAGCTTCCCAAAGTGCTGGGATTACAGGCATGAGCCACTGTGCCCAACCTCAATCTATATTATCATCCCCATTTTGCAGATAAGGAAACCGAGGCAAAGACAGGCTACTAAACTTGTCCAAAGGTCTCCCAATAGTAATCAGTCTCACCAGGAGTGGCCTCTCTTTGTGACTCTGTCTCTCCCACCAGCACCCCCTGCCAACCAGCTTCCCTGGCCTGTGCTGTGCTCCCCAGTGGCCGGGGTGATTCTCCTGGCCCTAGGGGCTCTTCTCGTCCTCCAGCTCATCCGGCGTCGACGCCGAGAGCATGGAGCTCTCTGGCTGCCCCCTGGTTTCACTCGACGGCCTCGGACTCAGTCAGCTCCCCACCGACGCCGGCCCCCACTAGGCGAGGACAGCATTGGTCTCAAGTGAGAATGAGGAGAAACCCAGGCTCAGGAAGGGGAGTCTCTCCTATGGCGATATTTACAATCAGAAAAGATAAGAAATACTATTGCAGAAGTCAAAGATAGGGGAAGGAGAGAGGGGTGGGAAGCCTGCTGGAAATTTTGGAGACCCTGATGGTCATAATTCCGTGTAACCTCTACCCACCCATTCCTTTCCAGGGCACTGAAGCCAAAGGCAGAAGTTGATGAGGATGGAGTTGTGATGTGCTCAGGCCCTGAGGAGGGAGAGGAGGTGGGCCAGGTGAAAGGGCTGGGGCAAGAATGGTCTGGAGGTGATGGAAGGGATGAAAGGGCAAATCAACCTTCACTGATCCTTGCTGTTACCCAAAGGCTGAAGAAACAGGCCCACCCTCCACGTGCCAGCTCTGGTCTCTGAGTGGTGGCTGTGGGGCGCTCCCTCAGGCAGCCATGCTAACTCCTCCCCAGGAATCTGAGATGGAAGCCCCTGACCTGGACACCCGTGGACCTGGTATGTGAGTCAACCCAGACCAAGAAAAAAAAAAAAAGTCCTTTGACCCTATTAGAATCAGAGAGTCCTTTAATATCAGAACTAGAGGAAATAATTTTAGACTGAGTGCCTTAGAACAATGATTCTCAAAGTGTGGTCCTCAGACAGCAAAATCAGCATCACCTGGGAATTTGTCAGAAATGCAAATTATTGGGCTCCACTACAGAGCTACTGACTCAGGAATTTAAAATGTTAGGCAATCTGTTTTAACAAGCCCTTCAGGTGAATCTGATCCAGACTCGTTTGAGAAAACCACTGCTAGGCCGGGCGTGGTGGCTCACGCCTGTAATCCCAGCACTTTGGGAGGCCAAGGCGGGTGGATCACAAGGTCAGGAGATCGAGACCATCCTGGCTAACACAGTGAAACCCCGTCTCTACTAAAAATACAAAAAATTAGCCGGGCGTGGTGGCGGGAGCCTGTAGTCCCAGCTGCTCTGGAGGCTAAGGCAGGAGAATGGCGTGAACCTGGGAGGAGGAGCTTGCAGTGAGCCGAGATCGCGCCACTGCACTCCAGCCTGGGTGACAGGGCGAGACTCCGTCTCAGAAAAAAAAAAAAAAAAAAAGAGAAAACCACTGTCCTGGAATGTCAGAGAATTAAGCTGCAGGTTCCTTTTACAGAGGAAGAAACTGAAGTCAGAGAAAAGCAGAAAAGTCACTTGGCTAAAGCCACACAGAGCCAGAACTTAGCTTCCCAACACCTCAGGTTTTGATTCTCTCTGAGCTTACATGTTGTCCCTTCCCCCTTGTTGTGTCCTTTAGATTGACCCATTACTCTGTCTTACCAACAGATGGGGTGACACCCCTGATGTCAGCAGTTTGCTGTGGGGAAGTACAGTCCGGGACCTTCCAAGGGGCATGGTTGGGATGTCCTGAGCCCTGGGAACCTCTGCTGGATGGAGGGGCCTGTCCCCAGGCTCACACCGTGGGCACTGGGGAGACCCCCCTGCACCTGGCTGCCCGATTCTCCCGGCCAACCGCTGCCCGCCGCCTCCTTGAGGCTGGAGCCAACCCCAACCAGCCAGACCGGGCAGGGCGCACACCCCTTCATGCTGCTGTGGCTGCTGATGCTCGGGAGGTCTGCCAGGTTAGCACACACTGAGGTCCCTACAGGGAATGGGGCGAGCTTACAAGTAAAGCTGGACAGAAGCATCCCCTAGAGTTTGACAAGGAGGAAATTGGTGTGATTGGGAACCTGACAGGGAAACTGCGGAGGATGGCTGAATATGGATTGCGAGTGGGGTTAATAGTGTAAGGAACTCGAGTTGGCAGTCCAAGGTACCCCAGGTGTCAGTGGCCCTCTGTCTCCCCAGCTTCTGCTCCGTAGCAGACAAACTGCAGTGGACGCTCGCACAGAGGACGGGACCACACCCTTGATGCTGGCTGCCAGGCTGGCGGTGGAAGACCTGGTTGAAGAACTGATTGCAGCCCAAGCAGACGTGGGGGCCAGAGATAAATGGGGTATGTAGAGGAAGGGGTGATGTATGCTATAGAGAAGTTGAGCAGATGGGGTGGGAGATAGCGTGCAAAATATAGGTGCAGCAGAGGGGCATTCCCTCTCATCCTGCTGTTACGGCGGTCAATCTGAGATGCGGTGGAAGTACGGGCCGCGTGAGTTTCCCCCCCCAACTCCCACCCTCAACACCACACTGGCCCTCCGCTCCAGCTTACTGGGGAACTGGCATGGAACACAGTGTCTGTGGAAAGGGGGGGGAATCTCGTGGGGGGAGACTGTCTCCCGGTCTCACCGACCCCAGAACAATGCCCCATTGTCCCTCCCGCGCACTGGTGACGTCACCAGGGCAACACTTCCTGCAGGCCGGTGGTCTCCTGGGCAACGCTTCCCGCCTTTGAGGGACCAGCCGGCCCGAATAGCCCTTCCCCCAAGGCCAGAACCCGTGGGAAACCGGAACCCAGGCGTCTGGCCCCCAACTGGGGTAACAACCTCCCACGTCGTCCCCTAGGGAAAACTGCGCTGCACTGGGCTGCTGCCGTGAACAACGCCCGAGCCGCCCGCTCGCTTCTCCAGGCCGGAGCCGATAAAGATGCCCAGGACAACAGGGTTAGATGGGACAGAGGGCTTCCCACAAAACAGTCAGGCGCACGAGAGATGGAAAGTGCGGTAACCCGCAAAGCCTGAAGGGATAGGGGCCAGTGGTCGCGCAAGTGAAGGCAGAAAGGCCCAGTCCTGTGGGCGTGGCCTTCCCTGATATCGGCCCTGGCTCTTCTGTACAGGAGCAGACGCCGCTATTCCTGGCGGCGCGGGAAGGAGCGGTGGAAGTAGCCCAGCTACTGCTGGGGCTGGGGGCAGCCCGAGAGCTGCGGGACCAGGCTGGGCTAGCGCCGGCGGACGTCGCTCACCAACGTAACCACTGGGATCTGCTGACGCTGCTGGAAGGGGCTGGGCCACCAGAGGCCCGTCACAAAGCCACGCCGGGCCGCGAGGCTGGGCCCTTCCCGCGCGCACGGACGGTGTCAGTAAGCGTGCCCCCGCATGGGGGCGGGGCTCTGCCGCGCTGCCGGACGCTGTCAGCCGGAGCAGGCCCTCGTGGGGGCGGAGCTTGTCTGCAGGCTCGGACTTGGTCCGTAGACTTGGCTGCGCGGGGGGGCGGGGCCTATTCTCATTGCCGGAGCCTCTCGGGAGTAGGAGCAGGAGGAGGCCCGACCCCTCGCGGCCGTAGGTTTTCTGCAGGCATGCGCGGGCCTCGGCCCAACCCTGCGATAATGCGAGGAAGATACGGAGTGGCTGCCGGGCGCGGAGGCAGGGTCTCAACGGATGACTGGCCCTGTGATTGGGTGGCCCTGGGAGCTTGCGGTTCTGCCTCCAACATTCCGATCCCGCCTCCTTGCCTTACTCCGTCCCCGGAGCGGGGATCACCTCAACTTGACTGTGGTCCCCCAGCCCTCCAAGAAATGCCCATAAACCAAGGAGGAGAGGGTAAAAAATAGAAGAATACATGGTAGGGAGGAATTCCAAAAATGATTACCCATTAAAAGGCAGGCTGGAAGGCCTTCCTGGTTTTAAGATGGATCCCCCAAAATGAAGGGTTGTGAGTTTAGTTTCTCTCCTAAAATGAATGTATGCCCACCAGAGCAGACATCTTCCACGTGGAGAAGCTGCAGCTCTGGAAAGAGGGTTTAAGATGCTAGGATGAGGCAGGCCCAGTCCTCCTCCAGAAAATAAGACAGGCCACAGGAGGGCAGAGTGGAGTGGAAATACCCCTAAGTTGGAACCAAGAATTGCAGGCATATGGGATGTAAGATGTTCTTTCCTATATATGGTTTCCAAAGGGTGCCCCTATGATCCATTGTCCCCACTGCCCACAAATGGCTGACAAATATTTATTGGGCACCTACTATGTGCCAGGCACTGTGTAGGTGCTGAAAAGTGGCCAAGGGCCACCCCCGCTGATGACTCCTTGCATTCCCTCCCCTCACAACAAAGAACTCCACTGTGGGGATGAAGCGCTTCTTCTAGCCACTGCTATCGCTATTTAAGAACCCTAAATCTGTCACCCATAATAAAGCTGATTTGAAGTGTTACCTTTTTTTGGAGGAATTGGGGAGAAGAATGGGAAAAAAGATGGGAGTGACTGCATAATGTCAGCATTTTGTGCTTTTGGCTCAGCATTTGGATTGGATGGAGGATGTAAGTATAGTTTAAAAGCAAGAATAAGTATATTTAGGGGCCCTATGATAATTTAGGGTATTATCTGAAAGCAAGAATCTAGTAGCCAAGGGAGAAACCGCACACACTAGGTCAGGGGTCCCCAACCCTTGGGCCACAGACTGGTACTGGTCCATGGCCTCTTAGGAACTGGGCCACACAGCAGGAGGTGAGCAAGCATTACTGCCCAAGCTCCACCTCCTGTCAGATCAGCATAAGCATTAAATTCTCATAGGAACTCGAACCCTATTGTGAACTGTGCATGCAAGGGATCTAAGTTTCTCGCTTCTTACGGGAATCTAATGCCTAATGATCTGGGGTGGAACAGTTTCATCCTGAAACCAGCCCTCCGTCGCCACCGACCATGGAATAATTGTCTTCCACGAAACTCTTCCCTGGTGCCAAAAAGGTAGGAGACCACTGCACTAGATGATGCACACACTTTGTCCCTCATCCTAGGGCTTTTACTTATGGCCACTTAGGAGATTCCTAAGGCCACAAGTCAAGTAGATGGAGAGAGTATCTTGAAACTTTGTCCACCTTGCAGCAATATGTTGCTAGGTTTGAAACATGGAGTCATGAGGCATTTTGAAAGCCAATAATATCTACAGTTTATTAAGTATTCACTATGCATCAAGTGCTTCATTACATTATTAATACATCAACCCTATGAAGTAGGTGCTATTAAAACCCTATTTCACTCAGAAATTGAGGCACAGAGATCTGCCCAAGATTGCAAGGAATAAGCGGCAGGACCAGATCTCTTCATCACATTTCACATTCCAAATCACTCAGCTATAAACTCCCTAACATGACAGGTTGCCATTTAGAGGTACCAAATGGTTGTCTGCCCTGCTCCTTCCTTGATGCCAACCAGCCTGATTAGCATTGATCAAAGACCAAGCCAGAGAGGTAGTCCTCTCCCTTTTCAATTTCATTTCATTTCTTTCTTTTTCTGAAACAGGGTATTGCTCTGTTGCCCAGCCTGGAGTGCAGTGGCACAAATGGCTCACTGCAGCCACAACCTCCTGGGCTCAAGCAATCTTCCTACCTCAGCCTCTCATTGTTCCATATCTATATCTCTTATGCCCAAAATAAACTTTCCCCTGCCCCTTGTCTGCACTAAACTATAAGTTTCCAAAATGAACCCTTCCCGTACTCTATTTGGTACACATCTTGTCTCCTGAATAGAGTGTATTTTTTATTTTATTTTATTTTGGAGACGGAGTCTCGCTCTGTCACCTAGGCTGGAGCGCAGTGGCACAATCTCAGTTCACCGCAACCTCCGCCTCCCGGGTTCAAGCAATTCTCCTGCCTCAACCTCCTGAGTAGCTGGGATTACAGGCGCATGTGGCCACGCCCAGCTAATTTTTTGTATTTTAGTAAAGATGGGGTTTCACCATGTTCCCCAGGCTGGTCTCCAACTCCTGAGCTCAGGCAATCCACCCGCCTCAGCCTCCCAAAGTGCTAGGATTACAGGTGTGAGCCACCGCAGCCGGCCATCTCCTGAATAGATTTTAAATACCTAGAGGTCAGGGATGATTATTCAATACATATATATTGAATACTTACTATGTGTTGGACCCGGTGCTAGGGTTTTATGTATATATTTGAGAGCTCCACATCCCTGGATCTGAATCCTCCACTTCCCACTGGAACCATGCCCCTCCCAGTCCCGGTAAGTAAGAGGGAAGATCGGGAGGGCCAAATCCTACACCAGGGTCTATCTTAGGGAGGGAAGGGACCTGGCTGGGGGGAGGGGGATTCTGAGGAGTGAAACCACTTCCTGTGTAGCTAGTTCCTGTGTTGACAGAAAGAGCAGAAGAGGAGGTGGGGTGGAGGGAGCAGAGCCAGGGATTAGGGGACTACTGAGGCTCTGGAGATGAGACCGCCAGGAGTCCTTCCCCACCATGAGCCCCCTCCACTCCTGCAGCTGGAGGAGTTTTTCCCAGTCTCAGTGCTGCCCTGGGGCGAGAGAGACTGAACAAGCTGTTTGGGTGGGAAGAGAATGGAGGAAGTTGACAGGGATGGGCGGGGCCCGTGGGGGGGCTGACCAGGAACCCAGCTTCCTGCTCAGTACCCAGGCATCCAGCCCCCAGCTCACCCCCACCCCTTCCAGCCCCCACTCCCCTCAGGAACCCAAGGTTCCAGCCCTCCTCCCAAATCCCAGCCACCCCTCCCCCACCAGTTTCTCCCCTCTAGGGGATGGAGGCTGAGAGACCCCAGGAAGAAGAGGATGGTGAGCAGGTGAGCTGGGCACGGGGTTGGGGAGGCTGACACTGGGAAAGAAGGGAGGTGAGAGGACCTGGGGCAGAAATGTAGGGACACAGGGGCCTTGAAAGGCTTGGGCAAACTGAGGCAGGAACAGAGACACACAGAGAGGAAACGGGCCACTGGCCTAGCCCCCTGTCCACTCCTCCCGCTTCAACCACCACTGCTTGACTAGAATGGACATATTTTGGCATCAGGGCCCCCCTCAGGATGAGGAAGGCTGGCCCCCTCCAAACTCCACCACTCGGCCTTGGCGATCTGCTCCTCCATCCCCTCCTCCTCCAGGGACCCGCCACACAGGTACCCCTACCCACCCAGGGAGAGCCCCGACCCTAGTGCCCACATCCTGACCCCATTACCAAGGCCCACTCCATTGTGGGCCCTCTCCCCACCTCCTCCAGACTCCCCTTGGGATTCCCCATTGCACCCCCTCTCCTCTGATCCAAAGTCCCTAATCACGTCACCCTGTCCACACTCCCCCACGGCTCCTGTCTGCCAACCTCTCTGGGTCTCTGAGCCCTCCACACCCCTCTCCCCAGCCCTGGGACCCCGCTCGGCCTCCCTGCTCTCCCTGCAGACTGAACTCCTTCTGGACCTGGTGGCTGAAGCCCAGTCCCGCCGCCTGGAGGAGCAGAGGGCCACCTTCTACACCCCCCAAAACCCCTCAAGCCTAGCCCCTGCCCCACTCCGTCCTCTCGAGGACAGAGAACAGCTTTACAGCACTATCCTCAGTCACCAGGTAAGACATCCCCCCAGGAGGCAAACCCAGGCCTCCTGGTCTCTTGGCCCCTGTTCTCTTTGGGGCTCTACTCCTGTTTCTCCCTAGGCACCCCATCGCCTTCACAGGTTTCCTATATGCCTCCCCATACCAACCCTTGATCCTCTCAAGAACCTCCTCCTCTCAGACCCTCACCAAAGCTCTCCCTCTCCCTCCACTCCTCCAGTGCCAGCGGATGGAAGCCCAGCGGTCAGAGCCTCCCCTCCCTCCAGGGGGGCAAGAGCTCCTGGAGTTGCTGCTGAGAGTTCAGGGTGGGGGTCGAATGGAGGAGCAAAGGTCCCGGCCCCCCACACACACCTGCTGAGACTTGAGCCCCAACCAGCCCTTCCTTGCCACTGGTCTCAAAGCTGGGCAGCCCATTGCATGCCCTCAACTCTTGCTTGGCAGGGGTACCAGAGACTGAAAGACACGGCACAAATCTCAATATTCATCTCCCACATCACCTTCCCTGGGAACTGGACAGGGTGAAAGTCCTCAAACTCTGGGAACAGGCGAGATGGAACAGGGATTTAACTCCCCGCCCACAGGTCCATGGGAGCTTGAGGCAGTAAGGGGGATCCCAGGCACCCATCTCAAGGAGTGGCTGGGAGTCTTTTCCCTAACTTGTGGGGACACCACCAGTTGTCAAGCTACTAGGCAGTAGGGTCTGAGGGCTCAGGCCTCCACCTGAGAGGTTATAACCTGAGAGACAGCTCTACCCTTCCTCCCAGTAAGAAGGGAAGGTGGGTGGGCACCTGAGAGATTAAGACTATTCTCCCAGTCCCACTACCAGCACCCCCGATCCCTGAGACTGAGGGGTTTACGGGCTGTGAATGGACCTTCAGCCCTGCCCACCCTCCCTCCCCACTGCTGCTGAGTCTGTCTGATGTTTTGGTTGTGTGAATAAATATAATTCCCCTCTGGACTGCAGACTGGTATCTGGGGGGCCCAGGCGGGGTGAAAGGTAGGAAGGTGAGGCCAGAGGCCTTTTCTCTCCCCAGTCTGGCCAGAGGCCAGCTCCCCTCCCCGGCTGGTTAATTACTGGCTCATTAAGCAGCGGCTGGAGACCTCCCTAATTATCTCCCCCAGCCCCCCTCTTCGGTTTTAATTAAGTAGAACAGGGAGGGGAGTCATTAGAACAAGAAATATGAACTGAGCTGCCGGTGAACCCAGGCATTCCAGCGGCCTGAGTCCACATCGCTTAGATCCCTGATTCAGGACCCAGGTGACAGACGCCCCCAGCCGCCAACACAGCCCCACTCCTAGGCCGCGGAAGTCCAGCCAGGGGGCTTTCCCATATCTTTCAGATGGCCCGTCTCCTCCCCTCATCCCCTCTTCCCTCTCCCCTCCTCCACTAGGTCTCAGTTCCTCTGTTTCTGTGTCTCTCTCTCCGCCCCCAGCTCCTCCCTGTTCCTCCTCTCTTCTCCCCTCCTCTTCCTCTCCGGCTCCCCTCCCCCAGCCTCCCTCCCTCGCTCCCCCCCCTTCTCCCTCCTCCCTCCTCCCTCTCTCTCACACACACCCCCGCTTGGGCCTCCTCTCTCTCTCCGGCTCCATTTTCTCCGCCGCCGGGGGCCGGGGTCTCCTGTGGGGGGCCCAGCCGGTATCCCAGGTCTCCCTTCAGTGCCGGGGTGAACCCCCGGGGGAGCCGGGAGCCGGGGGCAGACGGGCGGGGGTTGGGGCGGAGGGAGCAGCGGCCCCAGCGAGTTTGGGGGGAGAAGTAACCAGGCGGGGGGAGGGGCGGAGCAGGGAGGGGGCCTCAGGGCCCCCCCCCAGCTATGGACGAACGGCTACTGGGGCCGCCCCCTCCAGGCGGGGGCCGGGGGGGCCTGGGATTGGTGAGTGGGGAGCCTGGGGGCCCTGGCGAGCCTCCCGGTGGCGGAGACCCCGGTGGGGGTAGCGGGGGGGTCCCGGGAGGCCGAGGGAAGCAAGACATCGGGGACATTCTGCAGCAGATAATGACCATCACCGACCAGAGCCTGGACGAGGCCCAGGCCAAGTGAGTGCCCCCACTCCGGGACCCCACACAGACCCAGCAAACCCCGTTCACATGTTCTGAATCTTCTGGGAGCCCCCCCCAACTCCAGGGCCCTCTCCAGGATCCAACAGCTCTCTTCTCTCCTTATTCCTGGGAGCCCATAGAAAAGTGATCCCTCTCAAACCTCCCTTCACCCCCAGGCCCTGAAACCTTCACAGAGGGAACCCCCGGTGGCCCGGCTCCCCACTCCTAACCTTTTGCCGACCCCTGCAGTCTCCTGGAACAGCCCCATCCCCGGGAGCCCCCTCTGGCTCCCAGACTAAGAAACTGTTCTTGGGCTACGTTATCTTCTCCCCTAACTCTCCACCCAGCCCCCTCATTCTCTCCAGATGTGGAGACCTCCACACCCTCTCCAGAGCCCCTAAAGCTCCTCTCCACTGCTCAGCCAGACACTAGGTGCATCAAAGCCTCCCACCTGCTCAGCCCCAGGACCCCTTCACACACCCTACACTGATCTCCCCAGTTAGCTCGGCACCCCCAGCCCCACTCTGCCACCTCAAACTCTGACTCTTCTCAACCCCAGCCTCTGTCTCTCTCCCTCTGAAACCTACCAAGTCACTTTCCTTTCTCCATCCACTCCCAGATTCCTCCTCCTACCTTTCTAGACCATCTCCCAAAGCCCGCAGCCTTTAACCTGCTGCCTGCATCTTCCCTGTGTCTCCCTGAAGCTGAGGAGCTTCCCCATGCTCTGGGAGCTGATCTTTTCCCAAGAACTCCTCATTCCACCCCCAACTCATTCCACCCCCAATCCGCTTCCTCCCTCCGCAGACTGACCCTCCTCCCTCCTTGTTCTCAGGCCCCCTGCTCTGTTTCTCTAGCTCCTCAACTTTTCTCTTTCCCCACTCCCACTCCTCCCAAGGAAACACGCCCTAAACTGCCACCGAATGAAGCCTGCTCTCTTTAGCGTCCTGTGTGAAATCAAGGAGAAAACTGGTATGTGGGCCCCCCCCGGATTGCTCAACTCTGGGAACAGAACCCTGTTCATTATAGGGCTAGAGTGTGACAACTTGGGGCCCTGAGGAAAGTAAGGAGTCAGGGGGACTGGGGAAGGAACCAAAGCCTGGGAACTTGGCTCTCCAGGAAGCACCAGGAGGACTGAGCACTGGGTATTGGGGTCTCTGGGTCCCTAAGTCCACTCGCCTGCATGCTAGGCCTCAGCATTCGGAGCTCCCAGGAGGAGGAGCCGGTGGACCCACAGCTGATGCGCTTGGACAACATGCTTCTGGCAGAGGGTGTGGCTGGGCCCGAGAAAGGGGGCGGCTCAGCAGCAGCAGCTGCAGCCGCTGCAGCCTCTGGTGGTGGTGTGTCCCCTGACAACTCCATCGAACACTCGGACTATCGCAGCAAACTTGCCCAGATCCGTCACATATACCACTCGGAGCTGGAGAAGTATGAGCAGGTAAGGAGAGGAGGCTTGGGTGGGTGGAGGGAAGGGCTCTTGCAGGGGAATCCCATGGTCAAAGGGCTCCTCCTCACCAGCCCACTGGCCCCCACTACAGGCATGTAATGAGTTCACGACCCATGTCATGAACCTGCTGAGGGAGCAGAGCCGCACCAGGCCCGTGGCCCCCAAAGAGATGGAACGCATGGTGAGCATCATCCATCGAAAGTTCAGCGCCATCCAGATGCAGCTGAAGCAGAGCACCTGCGAGGCTGTGATGATCCTGCGCTCCCGTTTCCTGGATGCCAGGTGGGCCCAGGGACCCCAGGCTGGCCCCCAGCACTGGGCTCCTTCCCATTCCTCTCCAAGACCCTGAGCTGCCATGCTGCACAACATGGTACTCCATGACAATGGTGACTCTGGGGTCATGCCATGTGACAGCCCTGCCAGGACATCAACATCCTCCTCACTGCTCTTCTCCCTCCTCTGTAGACGAAAGCGCCGTAACTTCAGCAAACAGGCCACTGAGGTCCTAAATGAGTATTTCTACTCCCACCTGAGTAACCCATATCCTAGTGAGGAGGCCAAGGAGGAGCTTGCCAAGAAGTGTGGCATCACCGTGTCTCAGGTATTATGGAGGTTGCGGGAGGAGTTGTCAGGCAAAGTGCACGCATCTCAGCTAGGTGCAGTGGTGTGTTCCTGTAATCCCAGCTACTAGGGAGGCTGAAGTGGGAGGATCACTTGAATTGGAGACCAGCCTGGGCAACAGCATAGTGAGACCAGGAAGCAAAAAAAAAAAAAATGCTGTCACTCACATCTTATTCAGTGAAGGACTTCAGAGGCAAATGTTTCTACCTGACCCTCCTTTCTGCCCCACAGGTCTCCAACTGGTTTGGCAACAAGAGGATTCGCTATAAGAAAAACATCGGAAAGTTCCAAGAGGAGGCAAACATCTATGCTGTCAAGACCGCCGTGTCAGTCACCCAGGGGGGCCACAGCCGCACCAGCTCCCCGACACCCCCTTCCTCTGCAGGTGGATCCCACTGTCACCCCGGCTGACTGTTTTGCACACTTCCTGCTTTTGTTCCCACTTCCTATCTAGGCAGGATCATAGCAGAGAGGGGGCCTTTTGGGGTGAGAGGGACCGAGCTGAGATAGGCTGGAGATGTCAGGGGACAGAGGCCATTCCAGTGATCTTAGTTCTGCCTTTCTTCCCACGGGTGGCCAAGGAACAGCCTGCTCTTTCTGTGTGTTGGAATGTTATTTTGTGGATAATTGGAGTATAGTAGCATGTCCCCACAAGAGTTGAGAGTTGTGGTTCATCCTCTACCATCACGGGCTCTATTACACTCTTCCCTCTCTGCCCCCACAAGGCTCTGGCGGCTCTTTCAATCTCTCAGGATCTGGAGACATGTTTCTGGGGATGCCTGGGCTCAACGGAGATTCCTATTCTGCTTCCCAGGTCAGATGCCCATCTCCTCTCGAATAGGGCTTTCCCCAACTCCATTTCCTCTACTTTAGGATACAAGACCTCTTTCCTCTGAGGCTTCTCTTCACTGTCATACCTTCCTCTGCTGCCTGCAGGTGGAATCACTCCGACACTCGATGGGGCCAGGGGGCTATGGGGATAACCTCGGGGGAGGCCAGATGTACAGCCCACGGGAAATGAGGGTGAGTGGATCCTGAAGCTCCTCTCTGTCCAGTTCTCACAGGACAGAGGGGCATTTTCCCTAGTAATGTTGTGCCCACACAGGGTTCCCAGGGCTTTCTCTGTTTTCTGTACTCTGTCTCTCCTTTCAGGCAAATGGCAGCTGGCAAGAGGCTGTGACCCCCTCTTCAGTGACATCCCCAACGGAGGGACCAGGGAGTGTTCACTCTGATACCTCCAACTGATCTTGCCCCTCAGGGTCACAGGGGTGGGGGCTCTCACAAGGCGACTTGAAGAGGACGCAGGCTTCCAGAGGACAAACCCCAATACAGGAGAAGCACAAGACAGAGAAGGGCCAATGGGGTCATCCCCTCCCTAACGAGACTCTCTGTGCTGGGGGTGCTAATTACATGGCAGGAAGAATGGGGCCTCTAAGGGGAGTGTGGGGTCTGTCTCTCCCTTTTTTCCATCTTTTTCCTCTCTCGCTTTCTTTCTTACACAGAAACATACACATACCGAGAAACCTATTTCTCAGACCCCTTTTTCTCCTCTGTCTTTCTCTCTCCCTCTCCCACACCTCACACACACATACTCCCACTTGCAACTATTCTGTTTCTCTCCTGGGCTCCCCCACTTTCCCTTCCCCACCCCACTTGTATGCTCTGGAATCTGTGGAGACGCCAGCCCTGCCCAATCAGAGATGCCAAAAATGGGGACATGACTTCTGGACAGAGGACATGGGCCACGCCCCCATGCATCCCCACCCCCGCCCCTCCGGACGGCTTACTTACCTCATACGCAGCTCATCTTAAACCAATAGAATCGCTCGGTGGACGAGAGTGTCTGACTCAGATATCTACCTCGGAGGGAGTTTCTGCTACTTTAGGGAATTATTGACTGGGCTTTGGGGTTGAACTTTTTTTTTTTTAAAGAAAGAAAAAGAAACCCTGGGATCCATCTGTTTTTTTTGTTGTTGTTGTTGTTTTTGTTGTTGGTGGTGGTGGTGGTGGTGGTGGTTCTTAATTTTTAATTTAGTTTGGGGAAGTAGCTTGTTTTTTTTTTTATAAATATGTTGATTTCTTGTCTTTTTTTTTTATTTCTTACTTTCCCATATTAGGGGTGATAGCCAAAGGGGTTCTGGTAAGAGAAAGGGGGACAAACAGAACTGGTAAAGAGGCCCCCCTGGCTCCAGGCCTGTCCATCAGGAAGTAAATTTTACAGGGCACCAAGCTTTGCCCCCTAAAATCCCTTAGGTGTTCTTTGTTCATGCAGGCAGGTTTCTGCCGCATTTGATGTGGAGGCAGTGAAGGGCTTGCCCTGCTGGCCTCTCATCCCCCTTCTTCCCACAACCCTTGGGCAGGGCTGGACTCAGTAATTTTGAGGAAATTGAAGATGCCATCTTCCCCTGTGAGTGACATGTCTTTAATTTTTTAAAAAACTACTATTTGAAAATTGGAGGGGGAAGAATGGGAAGGGAGTTATTGCCAAATATGTTAAATATGGGTTGGGGTGCTTGTATATGTATCTTCCTCAATTTCCCCATAAATGAGGTATCTTTTTGTCACACCAAAATCAAGGGGTAGGGAGAGGGAGGAGGTTGCAAAAAGCCAGATGTGGGGGAAAAGTAACATCAACACTGTCCCATCCTCAGCCCTGAACTAGCTACCATCTGATCCCCTCAGACATTCTCAGGATTTTACAAGACTGTCAGAGTGGGGAACCCCTCCCATTAAAGATCCGGGCAGGACTGGGGACAGGTTGGAAGTGTGATGGGTGGGGGGGTGGGAGGCATGGGCCGGGGGCAGTTCTCTCCTCACTTGTAAACTTGTGTAGTTTCACAGAAAAAAATCAAAATGCAGTTTTAAATAAAGAAATTTCTTTTTTCCCTGGGTTTAGTTGAGAATTTTTTTCAAAAAACATGAGAAACCCCAGAAAAAAAATGATTTTCTTTCACGAAGTTCCAAACAGGTTTCTCTCCTGTTCCCCAGCCTTGCCTTCATGATGCAGGCCCAATTGCACCCTTGCAGACAACAGTCTGGCCTGAACCCTATTGATGCAACTTTGCGCAATCAAGATGGGGCTCCAGTGGGTCACCAGGCAGCCCTGATGGACTGATGGAATAAATAGGATCGGGGGCTCTGAGGGAATGAGACCCTAGAGGGTACACTCCCCATCCCCCAGGGAAGTGACTGTACCCAGAGGCTGGTAGTACCCAGGGGTGGGGTGATAATTATTTCTCTAGTACCTGAAGGACTCTTGTCCCAAAGGCATGAATTCCTAGCATTCCCTGTGACAAGACGACTGAAAGATGGGGGCTGGAGAGAGGGTGCAGGCCCCACCTAGGGCGGAGGCCACAGCAGGGAGAGGGGCAGACAGAGCCAGGACCCTGGAAGGAAGCAGGATGGCAGCCGGAACAGCAGTTGGAGCCTGGGTGCTGGTCCTCAGTCTGTGGGGTGAGCCACTCCCTCAACCCCACTGACCCTCCCTGCAGAAAGCACTTTAACCCCACACCCCAGTCGTCCTAGAACTTTTCCCAGAACCCGAGGAAGTGCCTTTCAAGGTCCCTCACCCACCCTGTCCAAATTTTGTTAGCCCTCATTCCCTTCCTACCCCTCTACCATGGTGCTATCTCCCAGGGGCAGTAGTAGGTGCTCAAAACATCACAGCCCGGATTGGCGAGCCACTGGTGCTGAAGTGTAAGGGGGCCCCCAAGAAACCACCCCAGCGGCTGGAATGGAAACTGGTAAGCGGGGCTCCTGTTGCAGCCTCCCAACTTCCAGGGAGACCAGCAATGATTTGGATCCCCGTCACTCTGCCTCACAGTCCTTTCCCAAAGGCCTTGCACTGTTTAGGCCCTGCTTCTCTGCTTCTAGAACACAGGCCGGACAGAAGCTTGGAAGGTCCTGTCTCCCCAGGGAGGAGGCCCCTGGGACAGTGTGGCTCGTGTCCTTCCCAACAGCTCCCTCTTCCTTCCGGCTGTCGGGATCCAGGATGAGGGGATTTTCCGGTGCCAGGCAATGAACAGGAATGGAAAGGAGACCAAGTCCAACTACCGAGTCCGTGTCTACCGTAAGAATTCCAGGGTCTTCTCCAAGGCCTCCCTCTTACCTAAGAAAAAGCCTTCAACCCCAGCCTTGGCCCATGAGGGCCTCTGACTTCCACTGGCCTCATTTCCACACACAGAGTTTGAGAACCTTCACAATTACAGCCTCTGACTGGATTTTTCCTCCTTCAGAGATTCCTGGGAAGCCAGAAATTGTAGATTCTGCCTCTGAACTCACGGCTGGTGTTCCCAATAAGGTAGTGGAAGAAAGCAGGAGAAGTAGAAAACGGCCCTGTGAACAGGAGGCGAGTGTGTGTGGGTGTGGGTGTGTGGCATCTCTCATTTTCAAAGGATTCTGAGGTCACCACTCTTTCCCCAGGTGGGGACATGTGTGTCAGAGGGAAGCTACCCTGCAGGGACTCTTAGCTGGCACTTGGATGGGAAGCCCCTGGTGCCTAATGAGAAGGGTGAGTCCTAAGGTGCCCCCCAAGCTGCCTTCTCCCTGATCTCACTCCCACACCCACCCTGGGATAATTTGTCTTATCCTCCCATCATAGGAGTATCTGTGAAGGAACAGACCAGGAGACACCCTGAGACAGGGCTCTTCACACTGCAGTCGGAGCTAATGGTGACCCCAGCCCGGGGAGGAGATCCCCGTCCCACCTTCTCCTGTAGCTTCAGCCCAGGCCTTCCCCGACACCGGGCCTTGCGCACAGCCCCCATCCAGCCCCGTGTCTGGGGTGAGCATAGGTGGGGAGGGCCCCAAGCTCACGTGAGCACGTTCTGGAAGTCTGACCCTTAGGGAAAGAGGGAGTCAAGCCCATGGCCACTGGGATCACTCACAAGTGTAACTCTCCACCTCAAAACCCTTCCAACTCCCAGAGCCTGTGCCTCTGGAGGAGGTCCAATTGGTGGTGGAGCCAGAAGGTGGAGCAGTAGCTCCTGGTGGAACCGTAACCCTGACCTGTGAAGTCCCTGCCCAGCCCTCTCCTCAAATCCACTGGATGAAGGATGTGAGTGACCTGGAGAGAGGGGCTGGGAGGTAGGGTGAACCATAACTAGCAACAGGGAGGGCAGAGGGCTAACGAGGGAAAGGCAGGCTAGGAGCTGAGGAGGAAGAGAGGGTATCTGAAGATATGGAGACAAAAAGACAAGGGTTTTGAAATAGTCTCCTCTCCCCTTCCCCCACCAGGGTGTGCCCTTGCCCCTTCCCCCCAGCCCTGTGCTGATCCTCCCTGAGATAGGGCCTCAGGACCAGGGAACCTACAGCTGTGTGGCCACCCATTCCAGCCACGGGCCCCAGGAAAGCCGTGCTGTCAGCATCAGCATCATCGGTGAGACCTCTCCCCAAGCCCTACAGACCCTGGGACTAGGGTGCAGGACAGCACAGGCTCTAATTTCCTGCCCCATTCTGGCCTTATCCCTAACAGCCACCCCACCTCTCCCTCCATGCACCCACACCCAAGCCTCCCCTGCCCCACCCAAATTCTGCCAAGAGAGCAGCCAAGCCTCTCCCTTCTTCCCTCTGAGCTAAAAAAAGGAACAGACGGCTGGGCACGGTGGCTCACGCCTGTAATCCCAACACTTTGGGAGGCTGAGGCGGGCAGATCACCTGAGGTAGGGAGTTCGAGACCAGCCTGACCAACATGGAGAAACCCCATTTCTACTAAAAATACAAAATTAGCCAGGCATGGTGGCACATGCCTGTAATCCCAGCTACCTGGGAGGCCAGCTACTTGAGAGGCTGAGGCAGGAGAATTGCTTGAACCCAGGAGGCATAGATTGCGATGAGCCAAGATCGCACCATTGCATGCCAGCCTGGGCAACAAAAGTGAAACTCCATCTCAAAAAAAAAAAGAAAGGGAAAGACTCCACTGGGGCTCCCACTAAATAACCCTCTCTCAACCCGAAGTCTTCCTTTCTGACTGGATCCAACTTTGTCTTCCAGAACCAGGCGAGGAGGGGCCAACTGCAGGTGAGGGGTTTGATAAAGTCAGGGAAGCAGAAGATAGCCCCCAACACATGTGACTGGGGGGATGGTCAACAAGAAAGGAATGGTGAGTGGTGGTGGCTGTGCTCTCAATTTTCCCTGTCTCCGTACAGGCTCTGTGGGAGGATCAGGGCTGGGAACTCTAGCCCTGGCCCTGGGGATCCTGGGAGGCCTGGGGACAGCCGCCCTGCTCATTGGGGTCATCTTGTGGCAAAGGCGGCAACGCCGAGGAGAGGAGAGGTGAGTGGAGAAAGCCAGACCCCTCAGACCTAGGGCTTCCAGGCAGCAAGCGAAGAGGGGTCGGGGGGTGGAACGACAACGTGCCGCATTCCCCCCAATCTTTCTCCTCAGGAAGGCCCCAGAAAACCAGGAGGAAGAGGAGGAGCGTGCAGAACTGAATCAGTCGGAGGAACCTGAGGCAGGCGAGAGTAGTACTGGAGGGCCTTGAGGGGCCCACAGACAGATCCCATCCATCAGCTCCCTTTTCTTTTTCCCTTGAACTGTTCTGGCCTCAGACCAACTCTCTCCTGTATAATCTCTCTCCTGTATAACCCCACCTTGCCAAGCTTTCTTCTACAACCAGAGCCCCCCACAATGATGATTAAACACCTGACACATCTTGCTCTTGTGTGTCTGTGTGTGTGTATGAGACACAACCTCACCCCTATACCCTTGAGGGCCCTGAAGGAAAGGGACTCACCCCCATACTTCACCATACTATACCAAACATCTACTCAAGTTGGGGAGAAGATGCTTCTGTCGGGGGTGGGGGCGAACTTGGGAAGAGATCCCATCAATATATTTCACCTTTTTTATTGAATTTGTATTAAAGGAGGTAGTGAGGGGGCGGAAGCACTTAAGAGTCAGAATCCATATTAGACTCTGGGGAGTGAAAAATTAAATTAAATCAGTAAGATGGGGAGTGGGGGAAGAGTCAGAGGGAACTTTGCCCACCTTTGAAGATCAAATCAAGAAATCAGGGAAAGCAAAGACTTAGGAGAGGAGAAAGACATTCTCTCAATCCATCCTCCTTCCCCAGGGCAGAGAATTAAACAACGTTACTGAGTGAGCCTCTGAGCAGAAGGCTCTCCCATCTATGCACAGACTTCACTCCTCCTCCCCAGGCCTTCCTGGACAATGTCCAGGGCTGGCCTTAGCCAACAGAAATAGAGGGGTCAAGGGGGTCCAGGAGTACGGAAGGGTCAGCAGGGACCCTCAATACTGATTCTTCTCTGGCTGGAGGTGGGCAGGAAGCAGACATAGCTCAAATACTGAGCAGCCAAAAAAAGAAGAAGATGGCGAGAAACAGGAAGAGGGAATCCTGCCAGCTGGAGGCTGGGTGACCCTGTCCCAGATCCACACCTGTGGGAGAGAGGAAAGCTGTGGAAGCATATGCTCCTAGGCTGGGAGGGGGCCTGAGGGGATTCACAGGGCTCCCTGATGGGAGCTGAGTGTGACTCTTACCTGTACCCCGGCGGAAAGGCTCATGGGCATTGAAGACGGTGGTGAAAAAGCCAAAGGGAAAAGCACCAACACCAAATGAGAAGTGGAAGCCCCCGGTATCACCAAATGGCTGGAATCCCTAGGGAGGCAGAAAAAGTCAGACGGGAAGCCGGCAAATCTGTCAAGGAAGGGACACAACTGGACAAGAAGACTCACCCCTCTGCTCTCCGGAGCTGGTCTCTGGCCCTGGGGGCGGGGTGGAGTTTTTAATCTGAGGAAGTGGAGAGAGAAAGTTAACAGGGATTTTTCTCCTCCCATCTTCCACACCGTTTTCCAAGGGCAGAAGCCTTCAATCTTCCCTAAGCAACACCTCCAGTCTCTCACCTGGGATCCTGGGGCTTCTGGCTCCCTCGCCCATAAAGCGGGACAACCTTCTCTCTGCTGATCCCAGCTTTACATACTGGACACTCTTGCCGTTCTGGCCGTGTCTCCAGCCACTGGGGAGAAAAAAGGTGGTTTCCAGTATACAAGAGGGTCTTACAGCTCCTCAGACCTCCCCATTTCCCTCTTCATCTCCTGAGTACGCACCTGATGAAGACATGGCCAACTGGATGGGGGAGAAAAAAAAAAAAAGGTCAAACTAGCTACAGAAAAGAGAGACACAGACCCTAGACTTCGCAGAATCCCATCTAACCCCTCTTCCCAAGCAACCTGCTGTTGCTTTTCAGATTTTCTGCAACCTCTACCATGCCAGCCAACTTAGTTAGCCTTCCTGCTTGTCTGATCTTCCAACACCTAAAGCTCTGTCCATCCTCAACACACTCAACCCTCTCCTTTCTCCTCTCCCCAACAAACACATACAAATTTTCGTGCCCTCTCTTTTCTGCCTTTCAAGTTAATTTCTAATTTCCTTCAGCCACCTCTTTCTGGGTCTCCTCTTTTCAACCCCAACCCCATCACTCCAAACCAAACCCCTTTACTAGCACATTCCCCCATTACTCACTTTCAAGCTCAATAATGTCCCTATCTTTATGACCCTTTAACCTTTCAAGTCTGCCTCTCCACAGTGCCCTTATACCAGCCCCCTCCCAGATCTCATCTGAATGTGATCCATATTTCCTGGTTCTCCCCGACTCAACTGATGCGTGCCTCCCTTAACCTTTGTGTCTCACTTGTTTCCACCTGCACAGCTAAGACCCCTCACTTCTCTGGGGTAAGGTGGCTCGGGTCTCACATTGTCCTGCCACTCCCCGCCCCACCTTCTCTTCTCAGCACATCACGTGCCTCAGCTCCTGGTTCCTAAGACCTTTCTTTCCACAGATCTCGACCGTTATACTCCCACCCACACATACCAGCAAAGTCTTATGTCTCCTGTCGGGCTTCACCTATGGGAACGTGCCCTCCGATTATCTGTATGACTGTATGATTATTCGCTCCTAGCCTCTCCAGTATATAAGCGAGACCCACCACCTCCCGCCCCCCTCCTCGATTCTCACCAGTACAGGTGGCCACACACACTGACCACAGCTTCCCGAGCAGTCTCCAAACATATATTACATTCGAAGGTCGCGCCCGCCCCGCCCCGCTCGCGATTTGGCCCTTCGGGGCCCCCGTCCTCCTCCTCCGCTGCTGCCATGGCCGGTTTTGTTTCGCCCCACGTACCCTTCAGTCCCCCCAAATACACATACACACGCCCCAACAAACCAGAAACCACCTCCTGCCCACGATCGTTGGGCAGGCTTCAAGGTTTCCTAATCACTATTGGTCTGAATGCCTGCCAGTCACAAAGAATTCAAAAGAAAGGATTGGCCCAAAGGGTAGGGGCGGGAAAAGGTTAGTGCAGTCCTGCCTTCGCACAATGGCTATTGGCTGATACGGTCTAAGTCAATGTGCAATGCCAAGGGATTGGTAATAACTCGCTACACGCTGTCGCCTGGCCAAGGAGGGCTTTATTCGTCTGAGTAGTTGTCAGTCATAACCAAAGCCATAAGCAATTTGCTCGGGACTACCTATAGACCTCGCCCACTATAAGCCCCTTTCTTTCCTTCGCTTCCTCTTTTAGAGAATGTCCGGATTGCTATTGGACTTTGGAGCGTATGGCTCCAAATCAACTCATTGGCTAAAACTTGACGGAAAATGGTGGTTAGGTAAAACGCGCCTGCGCAGCACGCGGCGGGACGGGGGTGGGCCAATCCTGTGAGGGTTTAACCTTCTCTTGTTCCACCTCTTCACCCCTATCTTGTCGCCATGGTGACTGCTCTACAATTGGCGAGGCTTGCACTTCAAAGTCCTAGGCTCGCTTCATCCGGGTCCTTCAGCTGTGGACTTTCTGCTGATTGGGCCTTTTCCTTTTCCCCTGATTGGCCGACATCGGGAAAGACGGCGAAGAGCTAGGAAAAGAGGGAAAACACTAGGGTCGCAGGGTTCAAAATGGCTCCAACCTCCTTTGGTGACGTAGAGAGCAGAACTTGGGTCTGCCCCTCCCTTTTAGTTAAGGGAGCAGAACTGGGATTAGCCCGACGTTTGGATAGTGGGAACATCGATCTGCGGCGCTGGTGTTAACCCAACTCATTCGGCTGGACGACTCAGCCCTCCCCATATTAGGTGATTTACAGAGCAAAACTGAACTAAAGGCCCACCCCTTTCTTAATGTTGTACACAGAGTAGAACAGGATTGACTTCAACTCCGTTTTAAACCTTCAGAGCAGGAAAGCTCTGGGCTCAACCCCTTTGTGAGTGGTGCAAAAGGGACAAAGCCCGCCCCTTTTAAGGAGACCCGCGGAGGCTAGACCCGCCCTTTCCTCTTTATAATTTGCCCATCAGAAATAGGGTCTTCTTCCCAGGTTGGACCCCGGGGAGTTTGGGCTTTTCCTACAATCACTGACCCTCACTGTGACTAAAGGAGCAGAATTAGGTAACAGTCCTCCCACTACCAATCCTCTTCCCGAGGGCATGTAAACTAATGCAGGGTAAAGGTGTGGCTAGAGGGGGGACCTTGATAAAAGATCCCATGTGACTCAAGAGTAAGGAAAGATGAGAAGTTAGCAGTTGCGTAAAGAAGGACTGGGGCAGATGAGGATTCAGGAAGCTTGAGGTTTAGGAAGGAAGATATTGAGAGGGAAAGGTGGAAATGAAGGAGAGTGAAGTGATGGAATGATCCTAGTAAAGGGATAATGGGAGTGGAGGAAGAGAAGAGGGGGTGGAAAACTAGATACATGGCTACCAAATTAAGGAGGCACGCGCATTCCAGAGGAATCGGCATTCTTCCTCACTTTTTATTTTTCTAGAAAGCACCCCTGAAGCCAAATTTCCATTGGAAGAAAAGATGTACCCATATTGTATGTTGTGAGAAGGGGTTGTCTCAGCTTGGGCAAGTAAGGAGACTGATACGAAGGAAGTAGGAAAGAAAAGGTACAGAGGTAAAAGAGCATGGAAAAGGAAAGGGTCAGGGATAAGGCCAAAGAGATCTCTTCTCTTTAAAGGCCAGAGAAGGCAGGTGGAGGGGGGAGCTGGACTGCTGGGAGATAGTGAGGGACAAAGGGCAAAGGAAACCAGACCAGAGGACTGGAGAGTGAGATGGAGTGAGATGGAGTCCTGGAGAGAAAAAGAAGAGAGGTGAACTTAATGCTTGTCATATGGTAGGTAGATGCTTGATAAATGTTTAGAATTGAATGGGTACGGGAAAAGGGGTCCTTAAGAATAGTTGGGGGGAATAAGCAGCAGATAACCGGAGTTGAGAAAAAAAGAGACCAAGTAAAAGTGGCAGTTAAAAGAGAGCTGATGGAGAATAAAGGAAGGAATGTGCGGAAGGAGGAATACAGCACCAGGGGATCCAGAGCTGAAAGGGAGTTAGAGAAAAAAAAGATGCAGCTGGAGCCAGAGATGGGGGCAAAGACCGAGGGAGAGCCCTGGGGCGGGGCTCGCAAGAGGACACTGGTAGATGTGGGGAGGAGATGCCAGAGTTTCTGGGAGACGATTGGCAAAACAGGCTGCCCATCACCGCCCTCCACTTCCTGGCCGGCCCCGGAAACCAGCAGGCGTTGGGGAGGGGTGGCGGGGGAATAGCGGCGGCAGCAGCCCCAGCCCTCAGAGAGACAGCAGAAAGGGAGGGAGGGAGGGTGCTGGGGGGACAGCCCCCCACCATTCCTACCGCTATGGGCCCAACCTCCCACTCCCACCTCCCCTCCATCGGCCGGGGCTAGGACACCCCCAAATCCCGTCGCCCCCTTGGCACCGACACCCCGACAGAGACAGAGACACAGCCATCCGCCACCACCGCTGCCGCAGCCTGGCTGGGGAGGGGGCCAGCCCCCCAGGCCCCCTACCCCTCTGAGGTGTGGGCGGGAAAGGGATGGGAGGAGGAGGGAAGAGGGTGCTGAAAGCGACTAGGATGAGGGGAAGGGGAGAGATTGGGTCTGGGAGGGCCGACTGGGGGAGAGGGTTGCTGGGGAAAGGAGAGGGGCCGACTGGGAAGAGGGTTGCTGGGGATAGGAGAGGGGACCTGAGAGGGAGGAAGGATGGAAGAGACCTGGGAGGGAGGAGAAATGGAAACCCTTGTGAATTTGGGACTGGGAGCGTGCACAGGGAATCCTGGAGAGGGAATTCCCTACACCTTCCCCAATTCCTTTTCTTGCCCTTTGACCCCACATGACTCTTGAAGGGTCATGAGGGGAGAAGGCCAGCAGAATTTGCCTCTTAGGAATACCCTTAGGTGCCTCTGTTTCCATCTAGGCACAGGACCTCTTGTTTCTCAGTGGCCTTCCACACTGCTAGACCCTTACTGACACACAAATGCCTTATGGGAGCCATGTTTTCTACATTGAGTCTGTGTGCCTTTGACATGTTTAATGGCTTGTGTGCAACTAGGTTGTCCCAATGCTATCCATAGGCTGTGTAGAAATGGTGTGTTATTTTCTATCAGAATTGCCCATTCTTCATTCTTGTGTCCATGTCTCACATCCAGTTTTGACATGTTTTAAGTACCGCATGTGTGTGAGTTTTCATATATTGCACCTGTTCTATAATTTCATGTTACTTGCACATTTTATGTTTTGGCATGTTTATTTCAGCATGTGAAGGTTATATACCTTATTTTGCTTTGGCTGACATGTCCATGGTCCTACCATTTGCAGTAGTCTTCATGTGTGGGATCCCATGGCTTGGCTGAATACCCCACACTCTGATGTCTGACTGAATTGGCCTGTTTGCTGTGTTTTCCCAGTCACAGTTCACAGAACACATGTGTATGCGCCTTTGCATGATACACTGATGTAACAGGACCATAGAATGTGTGTTATAAATTTGTCATCAGTATATTTTGTGAGCCGTATGCTCATTAAATTTGGCCCTCCATTGCATTTCTAAATCCTTGGACTTTTGTTCTCCAAAGAGGGTCACTTAATATCAAGTGTTAAGAGAAGAAGGTAACTGGGTCTCCAGGTCTGCAAAGAACCATCCCTGCATGCCTTACCTTGGTGACCTCCCTGGCCCATACCTCTCTACACAAACATTATCTTTCCAGTGGCTGTGTACAGTCTGTGTCCATGAGCTCAATGCATGTCACAGGGTCAATCCTGCTGTGAACCCCATTGTTGGTATTTATTTATGGACATTATCCTCCATTCTTTGCACTGTTGGCACACATTTGATGAGAGCAGCATCTTTCCCTGTGGCATCTTGATCCCATTCGGTACATTTCTCTTGTGAGATGACCTCTTCCTGATTATTGTTACTCTGCCTTCATTATGGCTATGTATTGCATGTATCTATTCAGAGTCGGTTACCATTAGGCTTGGTGTGTTCGTTACTTTCTCAGTGACTTCTTTTAGTAGTCACTTCTACTCAAGAGGATAACTATCTAATTTGTGATCAGAACCGCCATCTCTGTCATTAACTGTGGCTCTATGGGTGGGTATACAGCCTTAGAATCTGTTCAGCAAGTGTTTATTGAGCACCTACTCCATCTCCTATTGTCCTGGCACTGGAGATAAGACAGAGTCCCTGTCCTTAAGCTGCTTACAGCCTAAGGAGGGAAACAAAAACGCCAGTCAACACATAGTGTGTTGTCAAGATCAGTGGTTCTTAAATTCAGGCGCACATCAGACTCACCAGAGGGCTTGTTGAAATACAGATTGCTAGCCAGCCACGATGGCTCACACCTGTAATCCCAACAGTTTGGAAGGCTGAGGCAGGAGGATCGCGTGAGTCCAGGAGTTCAAAACCAGCCTGAGTGACAGAGTGAGAAAAAGAAAAACAGATTGCTGGACCTAATGCCCAGAATTTCTGATTCAGTAGATCTGGGGTGAAGTCTAATAATTTGCATTTCTATACTTCGAGACCCGCTGATCAAGATAAAAGTGTAAGGAAAGCACAGGCCTGGAGGGGTTCAGGCAGCCCTCCAAAAGGTGACACTGAGCTGTGTGAGGCAGGAGAAGAGACAGGCATTCCAGCCAAAGGGAACAGCATGTTCAAGGTGGGGAAGCATGAAAGATCATGGTGTCTGAGGAACTGAAGTGAATCAGTTTGACTGGAACAAAGAGTTTTGTGAGGATGTGGTCGAAGATGTAAGCAGAAGTCAACTTATCAAGAAGAGCCTTTAGGCAAGACAGGGAAATGCTCTGTGTTTCAGAAAAATCTGTGCTAACAGAAAAATCTCTGTGGTTGCTACGTGGAAGATGGATTGGAGGGAGTTGGGAGCCTACTCCACATAGTTCAGGGGAGAAATGATGCTGTTCTGAACTTGTAGGGGCAGTGGGATGGAGCAGCTCAGAAAGCCTACGGTATTCCAACTGGCAGGGTCTCCTGTTTCCTCTATTGCCTGTTACCTTCTCGCTTGGCAATAGGCTTACCTTTGAGCATAGCCCTTCCCATCATGGGAAGACAGTGCCTGTGGCCTCAGTAGGAATGACAGGTATTTGCCTGAACACCCTTTTTGTGAATTGTTACCCTGCCCCCAACACTGGGGCAGAGTGGAGGAAGGAGGAAGAACCTAGAACACAGGTTCTGTGTTCCTGCCTCTCTTCCTCTTGAGCCCTTTCCTCTCCCAGGGCAAGTGCTGTTAGGTCACCTTTACTCCATTCCCTCCTTTTTTCACTTGGTGAGGCCTCACACACTGTACCTGCCCACGCAAAGTGTCACTAGAAGGAAGGGAAAGGGTAGTAGGATTCGTTTGCCTGTCTGGAGGTAGGATTGGTCTTTGTAGCTATTCCAGGTATGTCCATAAGTTTACCTAGGAATAGGGGAGCTGCCTGGGTGGAGAGGGATTTTTCTAGTTATGCATTTACATTCTTTTATCTGTCACTGGGTGTAATTATAAATTTGTGTCTATGTGTGAACATGTTAGTCTTTGTATGACTGTGTGTCTGTTGGCATTAGTGACACGAACTTTTAATCTTGCCATTTGGCCCTTGGGTATATGGCTGTGAGTGTTCTGTCACAATCACCATATATGCTGTGTGCTGTGTTCGTATATATATATGCAATACATACCAGTGTCAGCGTAATGGAGTGGTTAGGAACACAGGCGGCTTAGATTTAACCTAGAAACTGCTGTTTAGGAGCTGTATGACCTCAGGTAAGTTATTTAGCCTCCCTGGGCCTATTTCCTATAAAATGTAAATAGTAATAGTACTTTCTAGACTATCATATGCATCATTTTAAGAGTTTAACTTAATGTATAGACCAGTACTGTTCTACAGAAATATAATGCAAGCCACAATGTAATTTTTTTATGGTAGCCACATTTTTACAAGGCAAAAAGAGTGAAATTAATTTTAGTAATATATTTTCTTGAATCTGATAACATCCAAAAGATTATAATTTCTTTTTTTTTTTTTGGAAATGGAGTCTCACTCCATTGCCCAGGCTAGAGTGCAGTGGCGTGATCTTGGCTCACTGCAACCTCCGCCTCCCGGATTCAAGCGATTCTCCTGCCTCAGCCTCCCGAGTAGCTGGGATTAAAGGCATGCGCCAACAGGCCCGGCTAATTTTTGTATTTTTAGTAGAGACGGGGTTTCACCATGTTGGTCAGGCTGGTCCTGAACTCCTGACCTCGTGATCTGCCCACCTCGGCTTCCCAAAGTGCTGGGATTACAGGCGTGAGCCACTGCGCCTGGCCCAAGATTATAATTTCAAAATGTAGTCAGCATAAAAGATTAGTAATGGATATCTCACATTTTGTTTTTTATTCAGTCTTTGAAATCTGATGTGTATTTTACATTTCCAGCACATCTCAGTTCAGACTAGCTGCATTTCAAGTAGCCACATGTAGGTGGTGGCTACTTTCTCGGACAGCACAAGTATAGACCATTATAAGACCCTTACCAGCTACAAGTGTTAGCTATTATTCTTGTTGTCATTTATTATCAGGTATCTGTGAATTGTAGATGTCTGTGTCTTGTGTCTCTTGTCTGAATATATCCGGAGCCTTTGGGAAGAGTGGTGGGAGAGCAGTCCTGAGCTCTTTCTCCACCACCCTCATCCTAGAGAGCCTTCCTGGGAAGGTTTCAATGAGACCCCTGCCCCAGTTTGTGTCTCAGGCCCTTGTCCTCATAGCACCAGCCCCCAGCCCTGCCTTCTGTGCCTTGCCTACCCCACTCTCCTCCAGAAACCAGGCTGATTGTCCCTTGCCCCATCCCCTGCAGGTGGCCAGAATGGATTTGTGGCCAGGGGCATGGATGCTGCTGCTGCTGCTCTTCCTGCTGCTGCTCTTCCTGCTGCCCACCCTGTGGTTCTGCAGCCCCAGTGCCAAGTACTTCTTCAAGATGGCCTTCTACAATGGCTGGATCCTCTTCCTGGCTGTGCTCGCCATCCCTGTGTGTGCCGTGCGAGGACGCAACGTCGAGAACATGAAGTGAGGGGCAAGGGGTCTTGGGCAATGAGGGAACCTAAGGGTACAAAGTGAGTAGTGGATTGGGGGAAGGGGGCATGGTGTGTGTAGAAAAGACTGAGAGAGACCAGAGACAGGGAATGGGGAGAGGACTGCAAAGGTGGTCAGAAAGACAGTAAGGTGGGGGGAGCTGAGGCATGCAGATGGACATCAATGGATCCCACTGGGACCCCTTGCCATGACCCCACAGGATCTTGCGTCTAATGCTGCTCCACATCAAATACCTGTACGGGATCCGAGTGGAGGTGCGAGGGGCTCACCACTTCCCTCCCTCGCAGCCCTATGTTGTTGTCTCCAACCACCAGAGCTCTCTCGATCTGCTTGGTGAGACCCCACCACAGGGCACACCTCCCCCAGCCATGCCTCCCCTCCTGAAACCTTCCCTAGAATATCTTCTCCTAGAGATCCTCAATTCCCCTTCCTCTGGGACATTGCCCCCTTGCCTCCCACTCAGGCCTTCATTCCCTGGGTAGAACTGCCCTCATAAGCAGGGTACATATACTTTTGGTCACCCTTTCCTTCACTTGGGGCCCCCCTCCCTGCCTAGTCTCCTCCTTCACCTCCAGTCCCTACCAGAGGGTGATGAGCTGGGTGAGGTGGGTTGCCTTCTGTGACACTCTGCCTCCACCCCGATCCTCACCCACTCCCACCCTGCCCAAGGGATGATGGAGGTACTGCCAGGCCGCTGTGTGCCCATTGCCAAGCGCGAGCTACTGTGGGCTGGCTCTGCCGGGCTGGCCTGCTGGCTGGCAGGAGTCATCTTCATCGACCGGAAGCGCACGGGGGATGCCATCAGTGTCATGTCTGAGGTCGCCCAGACCCTGCTCACCCAGGACGTGAGTCATCCTGGGGAAATGGGGGATTGGAGGGATACAGAGTAGAACAGTTGTAAATAAACTGATATGCAGGGCCAGTGGGCCTCAAAGGTCCCATTATAACATCACACCTATTCTGACTCCTCCATATGTATTTGTCTTCTTTGACCCTCTTTCTCCCCCAGGTGAGGGTCTGGGTGTTTCCTGAGGGAACGAGAAACCACAATGGCTCCATGCTGCCCTTCAAACGTGGCGCCTTCCATCTTGCAGTGCAGGCCCAGGTGACTACTGCTCTTCGTTCTGCTACTCAGCTGCCAACCCCCACCATTCCCTCATCTCTGGGCAGGGGCTTATTGTAGGAGTCTCTGAAGAGAGCTGTGGACTGACCTGCTTTAACCCTTCCCCAGGTTCCCATTGTCCCCATAGTCATGTCCTCCTACCAAGACTTCTACTGCAAGAAGGAGCGTCGCTTCACCTCGGGTGAGGGCTTTGAGCAGTTCTGGGGTAGGGTGTGTCCGGAGAGGCTGGGAGGACATCCCTGTGAGGCAGGGGGATCATTCAGTGTCAGAGCCATGAGATGTCTACACAGTCATCTAGTCTAACCCCACATCAGCCAATAAGTCTTTACTAAGCACCCACCATACCCTGCCAGATGGGTAGCACTTGGTCCCACCAAGAGAGGCTGTTACTAATCTTAACAGGAAAGATAAGGCCTGTGTGCACAAAGCTGTAATGAATAACACTCATTCAGCAGTAAATGCCAAACCCAGAGGAGGGGGGCTGGAGGGGTGCTGAGGAGATGTCTGAACTGGGGATTGGAGAAGGCTTTGTATAGGAGAAGGGCCTCAGAAGTGGCAGCTGGCAAGCCCAGGGATGGTTGTCCAGGGTTGGGGGAAGAGAACTGAAAGGTTGAGGAAGAGTATCACTCGGAAGCTGGGCCCCACCTGTGGGCAAAGACCTGGGTGGACAGGCCATGATGGTGCTCCCCTTGCCCCAGGACAATGTCAGGTGCGGGTGCTGCCCCCAGTGCCCACGGAAGGGCTGACACCAGATGACGTCCCAGCTCTGGCTGACAGAGTCCGGCACTCCATGCTCACTGTTTTCCGGGAAATCTCCACTGATGGCCGGGGTGGTGGTGACTATCTGAAGAAGCCTGGGGGCGGTGGGTGAACCCTGGCTCTGAGCTCTCCTCCCATCTGTCCCCATCTTCCTCCCCACACCTACCCACCCAGTGGGCCCTGAAGCAGGGCCAAACCCTCTTCCTTGTCTCCCCTCTCCCCACTTATTCTCCTCTTTGGAATCTTCAACTTCTGAAGTGAATGTGGATACAGCGCCACTCCTGCCCCCTCTTGGCCCCATCCATGGACTCTTGCCTCGGTGCAGTTTCCACTCTTGACCCCCACCTCCTACTGTCTTGTCTGTGGGACAGTTGCCTCCCCCTCATCTCCAGTGACTCAGCCTACACAAGGGAGGGGAACATTCCATCCCCAGTGGAGTCTCTTCCTATGTGGTCTTCTCTACCCCTCTACCCCACATTGGCCAGTGGACTCATCCATTCTTTGGAACAAATCCCCCCCACTCCAAAGTCCATGGATTCAATGGACTCATCCATTTGTGAGGAGGACTTCTCGCCCTCTGGCTGGAAGCTGATACCTGAAGCACTCCCAGGCTCATCCTGGGAGCTTTCCTCAGCACCTTCACCTTCCCTCCCAGTGTAGCCTCCTGTCAGTGGGGGCTGGACCCTTCTAATTCAGAGGTCTCATGCCTGCCCTTGCCCAGATGCCCAGGGTCGTGCACTCTCTGGGATACCAGTTCAGTCTCCACATTTCTGGTTTTCTGTCCCCATAGTACAGTTCTTCAGTGGACATGACCCCACCCAGCCCCCTGCAGCCCTGCTGCACCATCTCACCAGACACAAGGGGAAGAAGCAGACATCAGGTGCTGCACTCACTTCTGCCCCCTGGGGAGTTGGGGAAAGGAACGAACCCTGGCTGGAGGGGATAGGAGGGCTTTTAATTTATTTCTTTTTCTGTTGAGGCTTCCCCCTCTCTGAGCCAGTTTTCATTTCTTCCTGGTGGCATTAGCCACTCCCTGCCTCTCACTCCAGACCTGTTCCCACAACTGGGGAGGTAGGCTGGGAGCAAAAGGAGAGGGTGGGACCCAGTTTTGCGTGGTTGGTTTTTATTAATTATCTGGATAACAGCAAAAAAACTGAAAATAAAGAGAGAGAGAGATCTGGGTGTTGGTGGTTGCATTTGTTAAGGAATTGAAGAAGCAGTTCTTGCCCAGGCAACCTGCCCCCAGCCAGAAGACTCAGGGGCAGGCCAAGAACACAGGCCTCCCCCTTTCTTCAGCTCTCTGAAGTTTCCATTGTTCATTGCTCTTTGGTGGCTGATAGCCTTATCTGCAGCTCACAGTCGGCCAATCCCAGAGGATTAGTGGGTCCGGTTTCTGTATAAATTAGGGGGCAGGGGTGCTGTAGAGGCTTCTTATCGATGATTGACGCCGAGGCCCAGGCTGTTGTCCTCACAGGAGCCTGGTTAATGACATGGCAGACACAGTGGCTGTGGTCAGCCTGGAGTGGACTACACTGCCACTCTCACCAAACAATAAGTGAAACTGTTGGGCTGGGGACAGGATTTCAGAAGAGAACGATGGTAAAGTGGAGAGGCATGAGGATAGTGAATGTTGGAGAGGGGCTTGGAGGAAAGAGGGAATGCCTGAATGGAGAGGGGTCTTGGGGAAAGTTGGGGAATAGAAGTCAAGGCGGGAGGAGTGTGAGGACTCACAGGCACCTAGCCTCTCCTCCAGCAGCAGCACCTGGTCGCTGAGAGATTCGATCCGGTCACCCCGGCCCCACAGCTCAGCCACCTGTTCTGGCTGCAGCTCTTCAGGCGGCACGGGCAGCACCGCTCTGACCCAGGCCCCAGCCTGACCGGCCCACTAGAAAGGAAGAGATGCCTCAGGGTATTGACAGTGACGTCTGGCCTCGCCCCACCCAGCAGGCTTGGCTCACCTGCTCCAGCCGCTCCAGGCGCCCTCGCAGCTCGTGAATCTCCTGCTTCAGAGCGCGCTCATCTTTTTCCGCCTCCCGAACTAGGGACAAAGGAGACCAAGAGTGTGACCACTACCCGAGCCCGGACGCCCGTCCCGAGTCCCTCGGGTGGCCCGTACTCCTGCCCACTCACCGGCCACGCTGAGTATGCTGGCACTGGTTGGGGGCTCTGGGGACCCCTCCATGCAGGTGCGCCCGTCCACGCCTAGCACTAGGTCATGGGGGCAGCCGCAGGTGAAGCTGCCTGCCGTATTAAAACAATGGTGCGAGCAGAGGGTGATGCTGGTCCTACATTCATCCACGTCTAGTTACCGAAAAAAGGAAGGGGCTGAGAGAGGGGGCGGGGGCAAGCACCTGGGTAGGTGGGGAGGACAAGCTGACTCACCCACATGACAGTGCTTCCCTCCCCAGCCGGGGGCGCACTCGCACTGGTCAGGCCTAACGCAGACGCCTCCGTTCAGGCAAGGCTTGGCGCAGATGGCTGAGGACAGAGGAAGTGGGGTTCAGACTCAAACCGACGACCCAGCTCCCCAGCTCCGTGGGGCGCGCCTCCCGCAAGGCCCGGAAGACCCAGCCTCACCTTCACAGGTGAGCGCCCCCGGGTGCCGCTTCTTCCAGCCCTGGCAGCACACTGCATGGGTCTGCTGAACCTCCCGCCTCACCTCCCGCCACATAACGCGGTACATGGTCCTGGAACACAGCGCCCGGCTCAGGACCCTGAGTACGGGTCCTAGTTGGGGTTCTTGGGGTCCCATCTCCCCATCCCTCACCTGTAAGTGCTGCAGATGCGCCTCCCAGCGCACAAGGTCAGGTAGGGCTTGTACACTGGTTGGCTGTAGGACTCGTTGTAGTGGAGCGGGACCACCAGTGTCTGCTTGGAGCAGACTCCCTGACTGCGTCCATGCCAGAGGATGAGGTGGGAGAGATTGAGTAGGCCAGGCCCTGGGGAGCCAGGAGTCCCACTTCCCTCAAGAGGCTACTGAGGCCCCCCGCTCTCCCTCCAGATGACAGCCTCTCACCCCCATTCTAAACTTACAGTTATGTTTTGCCTCCTGTGAAGCCCCACCCCCAGCAGAAGGCTCCTGAGAAGAGCTCACCCCGGGCCCTACCCCCTCTGTTGTCACCTCTCTCTGAGGGATCCACCCTTGGCCCCCTCGCCTGGTATCAGTAGCAGGAGGAAGGAGAATCCGCCTAAGAGAGTGCACAGCTCAGCCCTGGACCCCATGATTCGCTTTGACGCTGGACCCTACAGGCTGCAGGCAAGAAAAGGTTAATGGATGCCCGTCCCCTCTCCTATTAATTTCTCCAGCACTAGTCCCTCCAAGGGCACTCTGCAGGTACCCTCTAAGGGAGTCAGGACATTCACTTTTACATACTAGCCACCAGGATTGCCTACACCTGTGTGTACAACCCAACACTATCCTGTCCTTAGCATATCATGATCCTTTCAGCATCATAAAAGCTCACACCCCAGCACACTCCCTCCACCTCCCCTCTAACCTACTTACTTCTAATCCCCTCTGCACAACCTGGAGGGACACACAGTCAACCCTCCCCTTATGACCCTCCTGTCTTTTTTTGGGTTTTTTTTTGTTTTTGTTTTTGAGAAGGAGTTTCGCTCTTACTACCCAGGCTGGAATGCAATGGCATGTTCTTGCCTCACCGCACGACCTCCGCCCCCCAGGTTCAAGTGATTCTCCTGCCTCAGCCTCCCAAATAGCTGGGATTACAGGCATGCGCCACCACGCCTGGCTAATTTTGTTTTGTTTTGTTTTGTAGGGTGTGAGGGTATATAGCTAGGGTTTTTTTTTTTTTGGTTTTTTTTTTGTTGTTGTTTTTTGAGACGGAGTCTCGCTGTCACCCTGGCTGGAGTGCAGTGGTGCGATCTCGGCTTGCTGCAAGCTCCGCCTCCCGGGTTCATGCCATTCTCCTGCCTCAGCCTCCCGAGTAGCTGGGACTACAGGCGCCTGCCACCACGCCCGGCTAATTTTGTTTTGTATTTTTAGTAGAGACGGGGTTTCTCCATGTTGGTCAGGCTGGTCTCGAACTCCCGACTTCAGGTGATCCGCCTGCCTTGGCCTCCCAAAGTGCTGGGATTACAGGTGTGAGCCACCATGCCTGGCCAACCCTCCTGTCTTTAACATGCCCTCTTATAACTTCATACCTTCAAAACCCTAGCTGGTTGGGCGCGGTGGCTCACACCTGTAATCCCAGCACTTTGGGAGGCTGAGGTGGGTGGATCATGAGGTCAGGAGTTCGAGACCAGCCTGGCCAAGATGGTGAAACCCCATCTCTACTAAAAAATACAAAAAATTAGCCAGGCGCAGTGGTGGACGCCTGTAATCCCAGCTACTCGGGAAGCTGAGGCAGGAGAATCCCTTGAACCCTGGAGGCAGAGGTTGCAGTGAACCAAGATCATGCCACTGCACTCTAGCCTGGGCGACAGAGCAAGACTCCGTCTCAAAAAAACAAACAAAACAAACAAACAAAAAAAACCCCTAGCTATATACCTTCACACCGTACACACAAACCAAGCACCTGGAAACTCCACACCTTTCACACACTGCTACTCCCCTCATATACCCACACCGTCACATAACGCCCTAAATGCACATCCCTTGCTCCAACAAAACACCCCGCAACTCATGCCCACCCTAAGGCTCTGAGTAAACCCCACTCTTTCCCCATTTGAAATTCTCTCCCCACTTGCCTTCCTCTCTCTCTCCATTCCCACCTGGCTTCTTTCTCCTGGGAGGCTTCAAGCAGACCAGCCTCAGCAGAAGCAGCTCAGACTGGTGGGTGGGCCTGGCAGGCTAAGAAGGAGAGGAGGGGCTGGGCCAGAGAGTCCTCCCATTCCTGCCCCCTCCCACAAGCCTCCTCCTTAGCTCCAGCAGGGTCAGCTCAGTAGGGTCAAGTCCCACTACCCTCATCCCCATCCCAGCAAAGGGCTCCCTAGAAGTATCTTTCCAACCCTCTGAGGCCCCTATTTCTGGACTCCCCAGATCAGAAGCTATGAGCTCTGTAACACCACCAGTACCCCCTTGAACCCAAAACAGACTAGGGGAGAGTTAGGGGGCAGGGAGAGAACCAGCTGCAGGGAACAAAGCAGTTCAGGTTATGGGAGAAAAAGCAAGATCAGCTGAGGAAAGCTAGAAGGGCAAGTCGTCACAAAGGGGCAGGGGGGCAGCCCAGGGCACCAAGGGGAAAACTGCCCCCCTCTCTTCATGACATTTGTTAGGGCTTAGGGGGAACAGAATTGAGTCAGCCACCACCCCCCATGCCAGAACAGACAGGGCCCTATTGTCTCAGCCAAAATTCCTTCTTTCAAGGAAGAGGAGGCTCATTGTCCAGCCCTACACCCAGCTCTGGCCCACAAAGCTCAAAAGCGGCACAACGAATGCCCACCCTGACCCTCTGCCCCCTCGTCTAGCCTGGGGGTGGCAGGCGCATTCCACCCATGAGGCTGAGGCCCAAACCACTGGAGCCCTGAGCTTAACCCCCCAGTCTTGGGGACTGGGAGAGGAAGAGAATTGTCTTCAGCAGGAAAGAACCCGCAGAGAACCAGGAACCCACAAAGAATGGGCATTGAGAGAGAGCGGAAACACCAAGGGGGTCCCCACCCTAGACCAGGCATCTGGGCACCCAGGCCTCAGGCTCCGCCCCCACCCTCCTTGGGGAGCCAGGTCCCCTCCACCTGGAAATGAGCCAAGTCACACTGAGGAAATGGAACTTTATTTCCATAAATACAGGGATAACACCTATTCAAAGGTAGTTAAAAGAGGGCCTGGGGCCTCAAAGAAACTAGGCTCTCCCAGGGGGGTACTCCAACACTGATCATAGGGACTGGGGGATCCCCAAACCTGAGATGGGCCTCATAGGCCACAGATATTCCCCAACACTGACACTTCAAGAACGGAACTGTCCCCATAGGGGAGCCTCAGAACCCCACTCTCATGGGTAGTCCCTCTTAGGAGTTGGGAGGGCTGATGTCAGGGGACTTTAGAGAAAAAAGGGAACATGGGGAGGAGAGAAGCTAAAAATGTCCTGAGTGGCCTGGAAGGAGACCCCTGTGGTGGGCAGGGGGTGGGTTCTCCACCCATACAGCCAGATACGGAGGAGCAGCAGCAGCAAAAGCAGCCACAAGTTAAAAACATGGTTTCTCACTTCCCAACTTCGGCCTTGAGAGAAAGGGACAGCACGGAGCAATCCCCCAAATGAGAGGACATGAGGTAGGGGAGGCCTGGAATTGTCATTCATGGAGGAGCAGAGGAAGGGGGTTCTGGGAGGCCAAGTCTCTACTAAAACCCCGTCTCTACTAAAAATGGGGGATAATATGGGAGCAATGAGGTGGTCACAGGCACACCAAAGCCTGACATCTGCTTTCCAAGGCCACCACTTGGTCTCTGGACCGAGGAGTTCCTGGGGACCCCTGAATATATCCTCAGGAGAGCCAAGGTTCAATGCAGGTCTCATAAAGGGTACGGTTGGAGTGCCAGGCTGTGTGGGAGATACCGGCCATTGGACACCTCACTATGGCCCCCCGGGCCAATAGAGTCTTCAACCCAAAAGAATCCCGCAGATAAACCTTCAAGGTGGTCGAAGGGGCGTGGAAGCATGGAAGAGAGACACAAGGAGAGACAAAGTGAGTTACTGCTGGGATCCTGGACCTCCTCCCCACAGGGTGAACCCTTCAGCTCAGGAGTCACAGAGAGGGCTCTGGAATAAGGTGGGACAGCGGCTAGAAGGGGAAGTAATCCCAGGGGGCTCACCAGTTGCTCCTCCATCTCCAGGACGGTCTCATTTGCATCATAGAAACCAAAGAAGCTACAAAGAGATTTGGGGGGAGGTTATCAGAAGAGCTGGAGAAAATCTGGCCGGGCGCAGTGGCACACGCCTGTAATTGCAGCACTTTGGGAGGCCAAGGAGGGCAAATCACCTGAGGCCAGGAGTTCAAGACCAGCCTGACCAAAATGGTGAAACCCCATCTCTACTAAAAATACAAAAATTAGCTGGGCATGGTGGCAGATGCCTGCAAGCCCAGCTACCCAAGAGGCTGAGGCAGGATAATTACTTGAACCCGGGAGGTGGAGGTTGCATTGAGTCGAGATCGCACCACTGCACTTCAGCCTGGGTGACAGAGCGGGACCCCATCTCAAAAAGGAAAGGAAAGGAAAAAGGAAAGAAAAAAGAAAAGGAAAAAAGAAAGGAAGAAATCAAGGTGGGCTAAGGTCCCAAAGGAACCCAAGGCCTACTGGGGAGACAGGTAGCAGGGAGGACACTCAAAACTACCTTACTGGATATAATGTACTTCATGAGGTGATACACTGAAGATACGACCTCACTTCTGTAGAAACCCCATCAAAAATGCATTACTGGCCGGGCGAGGTGGCTCACACCTGTAATCCCAGCACTTTGGGAGGCCAAGGCCGGCGGATCACCTGAGGTCGGGAGTTCAAGACCAGCCTGGCCAACGTGGTGAAACCCCATCTCTACTAAAAATACAAAATTAGCTGGGCGTGGTGGCTCAAGCCTGTAATCCCAGCACTTTGGGAGGCCGAGGAGGGTGGATCATCTGAGGTCAGGAATTCGAGACCAGCCTGGCCAACACGGAGAAACCCTGTCTCTACTAAAAATACAAAATTAGCTGGGCGTGGTGGACGCCTGTAATCCCAGCTACTCAGGAGGCAGAGGCAGGAGAATTGCTTGATTCTGGGACGCAAAGGTTGCAGTGAGCCGGGATGGCGCCACTGCACTCCAGCCTGGCGACAGAGTGAGACTTTGTCTCAAAAAAAAAAAAAAAAGAGGCCAGGTGTGGTGGCTCATGCCTGTAATCCCAGCACTTTGGGAGACCAAGGAGGGTGGATCACCTGAGGTCAGGAGTTCAAGACCAGCCTGGCCAACATGGAGAAACCCCGTCTCTACTAAAAATACAAAATTAGTTGGGCATGGTGGTGGGCGCCTATAATCCCAGCTACTCAGGAGGCTAAGACAGGAGAATCACTTGAACCTGGCAGGCGGAGGTTGCAGTGGGCCGAGATTTGCCATTGCACTCCAGCCTGGGCAACAAGAGTGAAACTCCAACTCAAACAAACAAACAAACAAAAAGATACTAAAGAGACGTAACAAGATCATGCAACTCAAGATCCTGATTTGGATCTTCCACTGTATATTTTTTTCTGTAAGGACAGTTGGAAAAATTTGAATAATCTGTGAGCGCATATTCAGGAAAATTTGAATCTATGTTTATATTTAAATATAACATTAACGTATATAAATAAATGTATATATATTTAGAGAAAAAAGATATTAATGTAAACATGACAAAATGTTAACATTTGCGAAATCTAGGTGAGGAGTATAAATGACTGCTTTTTGCTATTTTGGTAACTTTTTTTTTTTTTTTTGAGACAGGGTCTTACTCTGTCACCCAGGCAGGAGTGCAATGGTGAGATCTCGGCTCACTGCAGCCTTGGCCTCCTAGGCTCAAGCAATTCTCGTACCTCAGCCTCCCAAGTAGCTGGGACTACAAGGGCACACCACCACGCCCAGCTAATTTTTGTATTTTAGGTAAAGACAGGGTTTTGCCATGTTGCCCAGGCTGGTCTCAAACCCCTGGGCTCATGCCTCGGCCTCCCAAAGTGCTAGGATTACAGGCGCAAACTTTTCTTAAGTATGAAATTATTTCAAAATAGAAAGGTCTTAAAATCCTTTTTTTCTTTTTTTTTTGAGACAGAGCCTTGCTCTGTCACCCAGGCTGGAGTGCAGTGGCACCCTGTCGGCTCATTGCAACCTCCGCCTCCTGGTTTCAAGTTCTCCTGCCTCAGCCTCCTGAGTAGCTGGAACTACAGGCGTGCGCCACCAGGCCCACTAATTTTTGTATTTTTAGTAGAGATGGGGTTTCTCAATGTTAGCCAGCTGTTCTCGAACTCCTGACCTCAGGTGATCCACCCGCCTCGGCTTCCCAAAGTGCTGGGATTATAGGCGTGAGCCACCGCACCCAGCCAGATGGAGTTAAAATCTTTTAATTAAAAAATATTGGCCAGGCAAGGCCGGGTGCGTGGGCTCACGCCTATAATCCTAGCACTTTGGGAGGCCGAGGCGGGTGGATCACGAGGTCAGGAGATCGAAACCATCCTGGCTAACACAGTGAAACCCCGTCTCTACTAAAAATACAAAAAAATTAGCCGGGCGTGGTGGCGGGTGCCTGTAGTCCCAGCGACTCAGGAGGCTGAGGCAGGAGAATGGCGTGAACCTGGGAGGCAGAGCTTGCAGTGAGCCGAGATCACGCCACTGCACTCCAGCCTGGGCGACCGAGCGAAGACTCCAACTCAAAAAATATATATCTATCTATATATAGAGAGAGATATATATTGGCCAGGCGCAGTGGCTCACGCCTGTAATCCCAACACTTTGGGAGGCCGAAGCAGGCGGATCACAAGGTCAGGAGATCGAGACCATCCTGGCTAACACAGTGAAACCCCGTCTCTACCAGAAATACTAAAAATTAGCCAGGCATGGTGGTGGGCACCTGTAGTCCCAGCCACTTGGGAGGTGAGGCAGGAGAATGGCTTGAACCCAGGAGGCGGAGGTTGCAGTGAGCCGAGATTGTGCTATTACACTCTAGCCTGGGCGACAAGAACAAAACTCTGTCTCAAAAAAAAAAAAAAGGAAGAAACAGTGACTTGGAACATTAAAAATGTTATATAACCATGAGCTATCACTGTCATTCATAGGGTTGTGGTAGATGTGAAATGACATGATGTACATAAAACTCATCACTTACTATTATATTATTACAATATTTTAAGAGATGTCCTGCCTTCACTGAAAACTGTCCAGTGCCTTCCCATCTCACTCAGAATTTAAAAAAAAAAATCAAAAGCCTGGTTACCGGGACTGTCGGGAAATAGGGATGAGGATATATATATATATATATATTTTTTTTTTTTTTTTTTTTTTGAGATGGAGTTTCGCTCTTGTTGCCCAGGCTGGAGTGCAATGGCGCAATCTCAGCTCACTGCAACCTCTGCCTCCCAGGTTCAAGCGATTCTCCTGCCTCAGCCTCCCAAGTAGCTGGGATTACATGCATGCATCACCACACCCAGCTAGTTTTGTATTTTTAGTACAGACAGGGTTTCTCCATGTTGGTCGGGCTAGTCTCGAACTCCCGACCTCAGGTGATCCACTGCCTCGGCCTCCCAAAGTGCTGGGATTACAGGCGTGAGCCACCACACCCAGTCTATTTTTTAATGGGTATACGGTTTCAGTTTGGGGAAAAAGAAGTTCTGGAGATGGATGGTGCTGATGGGTGATGGTTTTACAATGATGTGAGTATACTTAATGCCACAAAACTGTACATTTTTAAATGGTTAAAATGGCAATTTTATGTTATGTATATTTTATCACAAAAAAAAGAAAAAAAAATATCAAGGGCCTTACCTTGACCTGCTAAGGTTTGACATGCCTGGTCCCCTGCTACCACTTTTAGCTCCTCTCCTGTCCTCTCCCCAGCTCCTTGTGCACTAGCCATGCTGGCCTCCTTATTGCTCACACGTGCTTCAGGGCCTCTGCAGGTGCCAGACCTTCTCCCTGGGGGGTTCTTCCACCCAGAGCACAACTCCCTCCTTCACTTCCTTCAGTCTCTAATTGAATGGTGACTTTTCCAGGAGGACTTCTTCGGCCACTATTGAAACTAGGCCCCGGACATCCTCTAATCCTTTCCCCTGCCTTATTACCTGACATATATATTTGTATGTATGTATCAGCTATCTTACAAACTAGAATATAAGCTACATAACATTAGGGACTTCTCTTTTATTTACCACTGCATCCCTAGGGCCCAGAACAAGCCTGCGCCCATAATGTTGAATAAATATTTGTTGAGCAATTCAAGTAGCTCAGGTGACATTACAGATCACACATGGTGACCTATAACACAGGCAAGCACATAGTACCATGGAGCCATGGATTTTTTTCTAAGGAATAGGATGGAGGGGACAAAGCTGGAGGCTGTTATAATAGTCCAGGTAAGTAAAGAGGTGGTAGGAAATGTGATAAAATGGTATAAAACTACACACACACATTGAACCAATGTGAATTTCCTGGTTTTGATACTGTGCTATAATTACATAGGATGCAACCACTGGGGGAAGCTGGGTGAAGGGCCTCGCTATACTATCTTTGCAATTTCCTATGAATCTATAAGAATTTCAAAATTAAAAGTTTTTATAAAGTGGGGGAGGGGGTGATAGGGATGGAGAGGAGAAGAGTCAGCAGGACTTAGTGACTGGCTTGATACAAGGGGTTGGGATATGACTCCCAGGTTTTGGTCTTGGGTGACATGATGAATGGGGGGAGGAGCACTAACTGAACAGTGGAAGGAGCAGGCCAGTTTAGGCATGAGATAAAGACCAACTGGGGTTGGGGGATGTCTTTAGCCAATCTTCAGGCCACAAAATCCCTTATTACCTGGACTGCCAGGGAGTAATAACACCATCATCAGGGCCCCCAATCAGCACCAGGTGGCCCACACGCAGAAAGTTCTTCCGCCATACTGTAGGATGGGAAGAAGAGAGGCTGAGTCAGCCACAGGGGTCAGGCCAGGTTGGAGAGGGAGACATAGGGAGTCAAAGAAGCAGAAAAAGCAACACAGGTAGGAGCCTGAATTCTCACCTGTGGCATTGGGATGGTCTCTTTCCCCATTGATCAGGGCCAGGAAGCTGCTGGCATTGAGGTACAAGTCATCGTGGTGGGGATCTGGGTACAAACAGCAGTTAGAAAAAGAAGCAGAAAAGGGAGGCAAGACTGGTGGTGAAAAGCCCAATAAGGAAGCTGCAGCAATAGTCAAGGTGGATAGTAATAAAATAGTAGTGATAATGTAGGCCAGGTGCGGTGGCTCACACCTGTAATCCCAGCACTTTGGGAGGTAGAGGCAGGTGGATCACTTGAAGTCGGGAGTTTGAGACCAGCCTGGCTAACATGGCGAAACCCTGTCTCTACTAAAAATACAAAAGTTAGCCAGGCGTGGTGGTGCATGCCTGTAATCCCAGTTACTCGGGGCGCTGGAATCACTTGAACCCAGGAGGTGGAGGTTACAGTGAGCCGAGACTGCACCACTGCACTCCATCCTGGGAGACACAGTGAGACTCCATCTCAAAATAATAATAGTAGTGATAACAACCGTAAACATAGTAACAAGTACTTTTTTTTTTTTTAGATGAAATCTCACTCCGTCACCCAGGCTGAAGTGCAGTGGCAGGATCTCCGCTCACTGCAACATCTGCCTCCCGGGTTCAAGCAATTCTCCTGACTCAGCATCCTGAGTAGCTGGGATTACAAGCGTGTGCCCACATTCAGCTAAATTTTTTTTGTATTTTTAGTAGAGATGGGGTTTCACCATGTTGGCCAGGCTGGTCTCGAACCCGACCTCAGGTGATGCGCCCACCTCCCCCTGCCAAGATATTGGGATTACAGGTGTGAGCCACCACACCTGGCAATAGCAAGTACTTCTATCTAGTATCTACTATATGAGCCAGGTACTATTCAAAGTACATTGCATTCATTTATTTATTTAATCCTTACAACCACCTGGTGAAGTACATGCTATAATATTTTACAGATAAGGAAAACTGAGTAACAGAATGGTTAAGTAACTTGCCCAAAGGCACCCAATAGGGTCAAGATTCAAACCCAAGTATTCTGGCCCCATGGTCTGGTCTAGAGGTTGGCAAACTGTGACCAAAGGACCAAATCCAGCCTGCTACTTGTTTTTGTAAATGAAGTTTTACTGGAACACAGGCACATTCATTCACATATGGTACATGGCTGCTTTCACACTACAACAGCAGAATTGAGGAGTTGTGAAACAGACTATATGTCCTACAAAGTCAAAAATATTTACTCTCTGGCCCTTTATAGACAAGGTTTGCTGACTCCCACATCAGACTAAACCTTCTAAGGCAATAAGGTGACACACTTAAAACATTCTGGGCCAGGTGCAATGGTTCACACCTGTAATCCCAGCACTTTGGGAGGCCGAGGCGAGTGGATCACCTGAGGTCAGGAGTTCGAGACCAGCCTGGCCAACATGGCGAAACTCCATCTCTACTTAAAATACAAAACTTAGCCGGGCATGATGGCACCTGCCTGTAATCCCAGCTACTAGGGGGACTGAGGCAGGAGGATCACTTGAACCTGGGAGGCGGAGGTTGCAGTGAGCCGAGATGGTGCACTGCACTCCAGCCTGGGCAACAGAACAAGACTCCGTCTCAAAAAAAAAAAAAATTCTGAACAGAGCCTGTTCAAATAACTCAATAAATGTAAGTTATCTTTATTGTCATCACTGCTATTGGTTGTAGCAGAGGTGGAAGCAACTGACCTGATCCATGGAAGCCCCAGTTCAGCATCCCCACTCACCATGCCAGTAGTTGCAGATGGAGAATTCCTGGCCCCAGGGGCTATAGCAGATCCGATAGAGGTTAGACCGCATGGAGGTGGGGAACAGCCACTTCAAGTAGTCCGTGTCTGGCAAGCGAATGGCAATGCTAAGTGACCATAAACCTCTGTTCCCCCAAAACTCAGGGCATTCTATGGAGTCTAGTGCCCACTCACCTCCATACTGTCCCATCTGTGGAGAGGAGAGGGAGATGAAAGAATCCACGTTGTGATCATCCATGACAGAAAGCAGAGCCCGGCACACAAGGCCCCCTGTAAGCAGAACACCACATTGGGCAGGCACTTAAGGACAGCAAAGCCAGCAGCACCCCCCACCCCCACCACACACACACACACACACACACACACACACACAGAGACACACACAGACACACACTGTACACAAAGGAGACTGAGGCTTACAGAAGGCAGGCACACCCTGTGCCAAAAGGTCACACATCATATAAGTGACTGAGCCCGAATTAGATGCTGGGCCTCCTGCCTCTAGTTCTAGGATGTTTTTACCTGCCCCATTAGCCCTTATGTCCAAGAACCATGGGTAACAGGAAGCAAAAGGGCAGCAGTGTAGGGAGCCTCCCTCCCATTCAAGACAGAGATGAGACCCAGGTGCTGAGGGAAGTCAGAAAGGAAGGGCTCAGGTACCAGGGTTGTGCCTGGAGCAATGTGGTTCAGAAAAAGGGACGCTAGGAAGTGTCCCTCAGATAAGGATCAAGCCTCAGATAGGGCTTAGGAGTTAGGGGCAGGGGAGTCGCCTACCCTGCGAGTAGCAGATGAGATGCACCCCTTGAGGGGCCTTTGCCATGATGGGGACCACAGCCTCTCGGAACCCTTGCACCTGTTCCCACAGGGGTCGCAAGCTCTCTCTCCCATCGAAGAGATCGAGCACTGTCACCACAGTCCCGGGGTGTGTCTGTGGGAAGGGGGCAATGCAGCCACCGGGGATAGGCTAAGAAGCTCCCACACGCCACCCCCTGGCCCGCGTCCACAGGTCTATTGTACCCTGCTAGAACCAGGGATCCCGTCCCCCAACTCTCCCCCACGCCAGCACCAGCTCCCTGAGGAACTGGGCAGGCCCAGAGGGGTGGCTTTCAGTTCCCCGCTCTCCCTCCCCTGCCACAGTAGACGCCTCTAACGCCCTGCACCCAGGTGTCCCCTGCCAGACCTCATTGATGTATTCCAGCAGGTGGCGGAAGCTGTACGAGCTGTCGAAGAGCCCATGCACCACGATGACCGGCTTGTAGGACGCGCGGTGGGGCGCGGGGGCTGCAAGCAGCAGCAGCGGCAGGAAAGGCAACAGAAGCAGGACCCACGCCGCGGGGAGCCGCTGCCCCCAGAGCCCCAGCATGCTCCCGCCTGAGAAAGGGGTGATAAGGGCATGTGAGGGAGATGGCAACACCCTCCTCCCTCGGAACAGACGCCCGGCAATCAAGCCACCTCCTCTCGCTCCCACACCAGGTCCGTGTCACAAAATAGCCTACTTTTAACTTACTCCAGCCCTCTCCCTACAAACACACCCCCCCACCACGTTGACGCACCAACGCGCACCCGAAGTCCCGCCTCCAACTCAGCGTTCGGGGGACTTGTTCTCTAGGTCCAGGATCTTCCTAATGCATCGCCTCAGCCATGAACAACGCGGAGTTCTTTAATACCCGTGAGCAGCAGCCCAGGCCCCTTGAAGAGTGCAGACTCCCACCTGGCCTGGGTCCGTAGGCCTCGCTCCACCCGCTGTTTACTTATCCCAAGTCTGGAACCCACGGTGGCGGGGGGAAGGGTGAGGAAAGAGAGCGCAGGGGAATGACGGATGGGAGGGGGAAGGGCGGGCTGCTTGGGGTCGCGCAAATCCGTCACGTCCGGGGCTTTCTCTGGCAACCGCGCGAGCGTTCCCCGCAACACAGACCCAGGACAGGAGGGGCAATGGAATATTCCATTGCGCCCTAGGTGCTGGGGAGGAAACAGGCGGAGCGATCCATTTAGGCCAGTGGGGAGAGGAAAAAGCAGCAAACATATTCTGGGAATGGAAAGAAGGCCTCTCCAGGCTTCGTTGCCCCCAGCGACCCAAAAGTCCGATTTCCCCGCCTTGATTCTCCCCACTTCCCAATACAGGCGTCTGGCTCCGCAGCAGGACACGAAGTTTGCATTCCCCAAGGGGCGGCCAGGGGGCGGACCAGGGAAAGGTAGTCCTCTGCATTTTGCCGTGTGCTGGGTGAGTGGCAGGGTGGCCTGGAGGGCTGATGCCAGCCCGGGCGTGCCCCTCAACACCCACCCCACCCCACCCTCCAGTCCGCCCCAGGTCAGCGACTTACAACTCTTCATTCTGAAGTGCGTGTAGTGCCCTTGTCTCCAGAGACGCAGAGAGTCCTCGAGGCCCCTTGAGCTAAGTGCAGCCTGGCCCAGTTTCTCCTGCCCTACTCTACTCCCCTCCCTATAAGCGACCCACCCTCAAGGGGCGGAGGGCGCGTAGGGATGCGCTGACTCATGCCCGCGTAATTTCGACCAGTCTTTCAACCTGAACGACCCCCAGAATCTGGCTGTCTGAGTTATCTGTGGGTGGCTCCCTACCGAAACCCCCAGGCGCCCCACCTCTCCGCCTGTGACCCCTAACCGACACCCTAGTGCCTCAGGGCTTTTACTTGCTAGGGCTTTTACTTAGCATTTAAAGACGTTTCTCTAGAGATAAGGATTTCTCAGCATGTCTGAGCCCCTCTCTCTGTTTACAAGGTCATTGCTTGGTCTAAATTTGTCTCAATCAAAACATTTTTGCGCTCAGAATGGTGTAGAGTGACGATGAGGTGGCGGTAAGGGGTTGAGCGCTCACGCGAACGCCTAAGTGACCAGAACGACTGGTGTGAAGCCGTGATCTGACTCTGTGGAGCCTGGGACTGGTTTCAGCGAGAGCCTCTGTACTGCTCTGTAGTCTCTGCTAGGACATGGACGAAAAGGGACGCAGCCGGGAGAGCGACTGCCCCAGGTGGGGGCTGGGGGGACGTAAGGGAAGAATAATGATTATCTGGCTGTGTTTTTGTTTAAAAAAAAAAAAAAACTGGTGTAAATCTCCATAGACTTCCTATCCTCGCTCCCTTCACCCACCCACGCGCTCCCAAGATGCAATAAGCAAATAAAAAGACTAATAACGCTGTACTGCAGGTCGACTCAGGAGCTGGAGATGCGTCTTGGTGGGAGGTGGTGGGTGGGAGTAGGGGGGTTTAGGGAATGGATCTGAACATTGACCAGCCCAGAGACTCTAAGCAGCCTCAAAAGCAAAGGGAAAGTGGGGGAACAAGCACACATTACCAACAGAGCTGCCAGAAATGAGCAGTTAAGTCATACCCCCTACCCCCTCCAAAAGAGCTTCAGCTCCTTAGTCCTGGACGAAGAAGGTATGTATGCACACCGCCCAAACTCTCTCTCCCTTTTCCCTCCAAGGCCCAGCTCCCCCTGATTTACAGACCTGGGCCTCCCTCTTTACTGCTAGGTTGGTAGGTTCACCAAACCCTGGGAACTTTTCAGACCATCGCAGTTCTGAACTCTGCACAATTCTCTCTCACACACAAGTATTTATCTCTTCTAAAGAGGAGGAAACTGGGGCCAAGGATTTGGGAGAAGACCCTGGCACCTTGCAGGGAGCTAAGAGGGGGAGACGACCTGCCTCTGGAGGCACCTGGGTTATTAACTCCACTGAGAACCTGTTCACTTCCTCCCACAATACAATCACTGAGTCTTGGTGGGGGAGACTCCAGAGAGTTCTCCTTCCTTCCTTTCCTTAGTCCCACCCGCCTCGCCTGGTCTAGCCTCCGTGTTTCCATGACAACTCCAAAGGAGCCCAAACTGGGGGCTTGAATGCCGGGGTAAGAGGAGGAGAGAGGTGGTCCGAGAGCAGAGAGAGACCGAGTGGGAAACATCTGAAGCGCTCCCCCTCCCTCGCCTCGGTCCCTTTAAGCTCCCCCCCTCCCCGCTCTCCCTCCGCCCGCCCCCCCCGCCCCCCCCCCCCCGCCGCTGCCTTCATCTCTCCATCTCTGCGCTGCTGCCGGCTGCGCCATCCAGCACCCAGACTCCAGCACCGGCCGAGGACCCCCACTCCGGCTGCAGGGACCCTGTCCCAGCGAGACCGCAGGCATGTCATCCGAAAAGTCAGGTAAAAACAATAACAAAACCTCCCACCCCCTCCACTGTCTCCAGACTCTCCGTCCCCCTTGCCCCAACCCCCTCCCTTACCCCTCCTCAGCTGTGGTTCTATTTCATTCCCCTTCTCTCCAGCTCTCAACACTCCCCCAGTCCCCCTCCTCTTTCTGTCTCCCCCTTTCTCTTCCTTTCCTCTTTCCAGTGGCAGCCTCTGCCCCTTGCCAACAACATGGTCAGGGGGGTAGGTTGAGAGGGTGAAGGAGGTACAGCCAGGTTTTGCAGGGATGGCATCATTGGGAGTGACAGATGGACAATCACTGGCTGGCATGGAGACATCCTGTGAGGAAATATGGAGACATGACCAGATGGGGGTTGTCAAGGGAGCAAAATCCAGAGGGCTCTTCTTAATCTGCCCTAAAAGAGGTCCCGAGATTCTCACAGAGGCTGGGGCACTCCTCCCCCCACTGAAGGAACAGCAGAGTGGAACACATGTCATCCCACATGTGTTTATACAACTGTTGAATTGAGCACATATTAACACAGGGTTGCATGTCTACGCATACGCACACACAGGACTAGCTCGGATAGGCCAGCCCAAAGGCAGCTATAGCAAAGGAGAGGGGATTAGGTCTGCAGGTGAGAGCTGGGTGCATGGTGATGAAAAAGACAGAAAAGAAGCAGACCAGAGTTGTGACCTCAAAACTAGATTGGAAGGAAGAAGGAGGGGGGCAGATGGCCTAGATACAGCCCCTCTCTTGCCCCTCAAATTAGAGATGGTTTCTCACCCGTCTCTCTCTATGTGTCTCTCCCATTATCTTTCTCCATCCCTGACCGGCTGTGTTTCCCCTTACCCCCTCCTCAACTCATCACTGTGTCATCTTTCCTCTTATACTCTCCTCCACTCACCTCCCCCAGGACTCCCAGACTCAGTCCCTCACACTTCTCCGCCGCCCTACAATGCCCCTCAGCCTCCAGCCGAACCCCCAGCCCCACCGCCACAGGCAGCCCCTTCCTCACACCATCACCACCACCACCACTACCATCAGTCTGGCACCGCCACCCTCCCGCGCTTAGGGGCAGGGGGCCTGGCCTCTTCCGCGGCCACCGCTCAGCGCGGTCCCTCCTCCTCTGCCACGCTGCCGAGGCCCCCCCACCACGCCCCTCCCGGCCCTGCTGCCGGGGCACCCCCACCCGGCTGCGCTACCTTGCCCCGCATGCCACCCGACCCTTACCTGCAGGAGACTCGCTTCGAGGGCCCACTTCCCCCGCCGCCGCCCGCTGCCGCCGCCCCGCCCCCGCCGGCGCCAGCCCAGACTGCCCAGGCCCCTGGCTTCGTGGTGCCCACGCACGCGGGGACTGTGGGCACGCTGCCGCTGGGGGGCTACGTAGCGCCCGGATACCCCCTGCAGCTGCAGCCTTGCACTGCTTACGTGCCGGTCTACCCGGTGGGCACGGTGAGTGCCGGGCAGACAGGGACATGGGAAAGAGGGGGACGCGATACAGGACTTGAAATTGGGGATACGCTGGGGGCTGGTAGGATAGAGGAACAAGGGCAGGGAACAGGTAGTGTTCCCGGGACAAGCCCTAGAAAGAAGGGAGCCTGAGACAGGAAGGACTAGGGAGAGACACGGGAGTAGGAGTCTACTGGTGCCCAGAGTCAGGGCCTGGGAGGGGGATCGGAGCCTAGAGGTTCAGAGGAGGTCTGAAAGTAGGAAACCGCCTGGCGGGGGACGGGGGGAATGGAAGCTGGGAACCAAGAGGGATGTGGGAGAAGCCTGGGACTAAGGGGGTAGGGGAGGCCTGGTAGGTGTCTGGAGGGAAGAAAGAAGGTCTGACCTGAGGCCAGGACAGCCCCAGTGGGACCATACCTTGCGGGAGAGAATGTAGAAAGCCCAAGAATATGGTGGTTAATGAAGCAAGGAAGGGAGGAGAGGGGCTTAGGTGGAATTTATGGGTGTCCTGGAAGGGTAATGGGTGCTTTATTTTGAGAAGCCATAGGTAAAAATTGTGCTTTTAAAGCCACTCTGCCAGCCGCCCAACGCTGGTAGGCTGGGAGAGGGTCAGAGTGATGCCCCTGCCCCCCAAATTTCCTTCCACAGCCATATGCAGGCGGGACCCCGGGGGGAACAGGAGTGACCTCCACTCTCCCCCCGCCGCCCCAGGGCCCAGGGCTGGCCCTACTGGAGCCGAGGCGCCCGCCACACGACTACATGCCCATCGCGGTGCTGACCACCATCTGTTGCTTCTGGCCTACTGGCATCATTGCCATCTTCAAGGCCGTGCAGGTAGGGGGCAGGGGCATACTCGGTTTGGGGGCGGGGACAGGGAGTTCTGGGCGTTCTGGGGACCATCTTAGAGAAAGGCTGAGGCGTTCGAACGAGGCCGCAGCTCTTTGACCTCCTTCCCCCACCCCTCCTCCGTAGGTGCGCACGGCCTTGGCCCGCGGAGACATGGTGTCGGCCGAGATCGCTTCACGCGAGGCCCGGAACTTCTCCTTCATCTCCCTGGCCGTGGGCATCGCGGCCATGGTGCTCTGTACCATCCTCACCGTAGTCATCATCATCGCCGCGCAGCACCACGAGAACTACTGGGATCCCTAAAAACGCCCCTGGTCCGGCCCCACTCTGCGCCCCTCGATCTCCCAGGCTCTTTCTGCAGTCATACCGCGGACCCAATGGGCGCCCTGCACACCCGTTTCTGGGGCCGTCAGACTTGGATACATCGTAAACTCCGCCTCCACGGAACGTCTCGCCTTGCGAGCAAGCTCGGAATCCAGTTCCTCAGGAACCCCTCCAAAACCCACACCCCCAGGGACGCCGCTTTCCGGGATCCCGGCCAAACGCCGGACCCTCAGTCGCTCCAGGCCCCCTCACCCTCAAAGTGTAGCGCCCCCAACCGAGCAACCTCGGTTTGGTCCCTAAAACCCCGCCTCCTCTATAAGCACCGCCCCAGCTCTGACAAAACCCCGCCTCCAGGTCGGCAGGCTCCGCCTTCTTTTCTTCTCCGCGGGGTGATTCAGTCCAGTGATTGGGTTTGTGGCTCCAGGCCTCGCCCACAGACGGACAGACCCCTCCCTTTCTTCCGGCAAAAGGACCGAGCCCTGGGGTAGTAAGGCCCCCACACTCCTGTTTTTTGCAAGTACATTTTTGTCCCTCCTCCACCCAGGTATCTGCCTATTTTCTTGCTAATCCCAGAACCTTTCCTTTTGCTTTTTTTAAGGACATTTGGGAAGTTCCTGGTGTAGGACCCTTCTCCCTGGGATAAGAAACCTGCCTGTAAACGCTCTGTAAATACTCCCTTCCACCCATCCCAGCCCCTGGGCAGCCGGGCAGAAGGGAATCCAGGCTATGGACCTCCCAAGTCCCCGCTCCCCGCTCCCCTCGGCGGCCCCGCCTTGTTCTGATCTGTGTGTGAGTGTGTGTGAACTTCTGAAAGACAATATTAAAGAGACTTAGTTGATTTATCGCCCGCAATTCCAAAGACTGCGGCCCCGCAAAGACCCTCCCCACTTTTGATTCCGCCTTTCACTTCCCTTCATCTCCTCTTCCAAGGAAAAAAAAAGAAAACCCGACAGAGACTAACGTGAGGGACACAGATTCCCAGATCGCCAGAGAGACACGTGAATATGGGGGACGGAGGGGAGCTCCCTGGGAATCCACCAAGGAAGACCTTGGGGTCCATTCTCAGTGAGGCTTTATTTTCTTAGTGAGGCTTTATTTCCCCAGTACCCCTTTTCCATTCCCTACTATCCCCAGAACTCCAGGAAGACAAGAGAACAGAGAGGGCAGACCATGGTGAAGAAGCTGGTCAAGGATAGAGTGATGGGGGCCAAGAAGAGATGCCAGCTGCCCATAGCTGTTCCTGACTGTGGGCTGGAGGGTGGCAGATAACTTGGATTAGAGCCCCACATGCTGGACTGTAGGGGGTATAGGAAAGGCAAAGAGAGCAGATTGCTGTGGGAGCCCAGGGAGGAGGTCAATGGCCTCTCAAGTCTCCCTGGGACTAGTTGCCCTCTCCTATCCTGAGGTCAACCAATAGGCCTCTTTTCTGAGGGGAGTGGTGATTAGGGGATGCTGCCAGCAGTGGGCTTGGGTCTTTGGTTGTACACCCACAGGACAGGGTCCTAACCTAATTTATGCATTTATGCAACATGCAGACTCCATGCTGGATGCTGGTGAGACATCCACCCAGACAGCAGGTGTGACCCCTGACCTCATGGAGCTTACAATCTAGAAGGGAAGCCATGCACTGAGATAGGAAATGTGATAGGAGATGTGGGAGGAGGGTGGGGTGAGGTGTGAATATCATGGGTTCGCCCTTGGATGTTTCGCATTTAATGTGCCTACCTTACCAAACTTCTTGAAAAACAGAATTCACGGCTGGGCACGGTGGCTAACACCTGTAATTCCAGCACTTTGGGAGGCCAAGGCAGGCGGATCACTTGAGGTCAGGAGTTCGGGACCAGCCTGGCCAACATGGTGAAACCCCATCTGTACTAAAAATAATAAATTAGCCGGGCATGGTGACGGGCACCTGCAGTCCCAGCTACTTGGAAGGCTGAGGCAGGAGAATCGCTTGAACTTGGGAGGCGGAGGTTGCAGTGAGCCAAGATCAAGTCATTGCACTCCAGCCTGGGCAACAAGAGCGAAACTCCATCTCAAAAAAAAAGGGGCAGGGGGGTGCGGAATATTGCTATCAGAGATATGTCTGTATCTGTCTTTTTTTCATACCCACTATTTCTTGACTTATTGGAATATGCATCCACACCCTATTCTCCTGAAACCTCCCTCTCAAATGGCAACCAATTACCCAGATCCCAAATCAATGGCATTTTCACAGTATTCTGCCTCTCTAAGCCCTCCCATGTTTGTCCCTTGACCCTGAATTCCCCACATACCCAGGTTCAAGAACGTATTACCTCCCTTCCCCCGACACACACACAGACCTCTAACCATTCCGCCTCTGCCTTCCCTCCTTGCTTTTTCTCCTCCCTTCCCCTAAGTGTCCATCTCTGATTTTTTTTCCTTCTCTGAGACTTTCCTTTGAAAAGCTCATTCACTCAACTCAGCTAATCAAATGCTTTTCCAACCTGTATTTTACATGCAGACGTTTTTTCCAGTGCCTGAAGATCATAGCCACATGGAAGATGCTTGCTGGTCCTCTAAAATCAACACATTCCAAAACAAACTGATGAAATGCCACAGAAAACCTGCTTCCCTGTCTCTGTTAATAGACCATTTTCCCAATCACTCTTCCTTATCTAGAAATTTGCCGCCTCCTCCCTCTCCCTCCTGCCTTATTTTTGGTGTGCTCTCAAGCCTAGTCAGTTCTGCCACCACAATGTCTTTTGAATCTGTAATTTTTCCCCAGCCCTTGCTGGAAAAATTACCTCATTAGGATTATTGCATCAGCTTTCCCAACAGGTCTCCCTACTTCCTACTTCTCCCTACCTCAAGTCTCCCTCCACACTATTGTCAGATCAGCCTCCCTAAACACACTTTCATAACTCCACTGCTCAAAAGCCCTTCAAGGTTCCCTATTGCCTACTCAATTATTTACAAAATTTTAATCTGGCCTTTAACACCTTCCATAATTTAAAATCATCCAGCTTCTCTGTTTATTCTAATTTCTAACCATACTGAATTACTCATCATTCCCACCTCCAGGTATTTGCCCAGCTGTTCCCAAATCTTAGACCTCCTTCCCAAATCTCTGCCTATTATAAACCAAATTGTTTGCAGCTTGTCACAAATTTCAGAGGCTTTAGACCACATCTAGGCTCTTGCTCATGATGTTCTCCCCCTCTTGACATCTGCCTCTCTACTTGGTCAAATTTTATTTACAATATCTTTCAAAGTCCGGATCAATTCATCCCTCACTGTAGCAAAAAGGTGTCTCTCTTTCCTCTGGGTTAGATTAAAGCAGTGGGTTTCCAAACAGAGCTTCAGGCATTCCTTGGAGCAACGGTTCTTACCCCAGGTTACACATTAGAATCCACTGGGGAGCACTGAAAAATCTGAAAGCCCATGTCGCATCCTAAAACAATTAAATCAGAATCTCTGGGCTCAGTGCCAGTGGCTCACACCTGTAATCTCAGCACTCTGGGAAGTCGAGGCAGGAGGATCGTTTAAGCCCAGGAGTTCGAGACTAGCCTGGGCAATATGGTGAGACCCCATCTCTACAAGAAAGTTTAAAAACTAGCCTAGGCCAGATCGAGACCATCCTGGCTAACATGGTGAAACCGCGTCTCTACTAAAAATACAAAAAAATTAGCTGGGTGTGGTGGTAGGTGCCTGTAGTCCCAGCTACTCAGGAGGCTGAGGCAGGAGAACGGCATGAACCCGGGAGGTGGAGCTTGCAGTGAGCCGAGATCGTGCCATGCACTCCAGCCTGGGCAACAGAGCGAGACTCCGTCTCAAAAAAAAAAAAAAAAAAAAATTAGCCTAGGCCGAGCGCGGTGGCTCACACATATAATCTCAGCACTTTGGGAGGCCGAGGTGGGTGGATCACCTGAGGTCAGGCGTTCAAGACCAGCCTGGCCAACGTGGTGAAACCCCGTCTCCACTAAAACTGCAAAAATCAGCCGGGTATGGTGGCACATGCCTGTAATCCCAGCTACTCAGGAGGCTGAGGCAGAAGAATCGCTTGAACCTAGGAGGCGGAGGTTGCAGTGAGCCCAGATTGCACCACTGCACTCCAGCCTGGGTGGCAGAGAGGCACTCAGTCTCAAAAAGAAAAAGAAAAAAAAAATTTAGCCGAGCCCCATGGCTCACCTGTAGTCTTAGCTACTTGGGAGGGTGAGACGGGAGGATTGCTTGGGCCTGAGGGGCAGAGGCTTCAGTGATCAGAACACGGTGCTCCAGCCTGGGCAACAGAGTGAGACCCTATCTCAAAACAAACAAAAAAGAATCTCTGGGGGTGGAACTCTGGCATCAGTATTTAAGACATAACCAGGTGATTCCAAAGGGCAGCCAAGGTTGGGAATCACAGGTTTACAGACACTTTAAGGACCACCCAGGGAGAATGGAAAGGCCAAAAAATGACTTCAACCCGGGCAATTTTCTTTAGGAGAAAAGTATCTAGATCTAAGATTCATGTTATCTGCATATTTTCTCATCTCTTCCCACCTGATATCTTGACATACACAGTTTACCTTGTGAGCTACTTGAAGGCAAGAGTCAAATCTGGCTTATCTCTGTTTTTCAGATCCTCATCAGATAAAACCTCCTCTACCAATCTTTGAACTCAATTGAATTGAAAGGAATCAGGCAAAGGGAGAGATGAATAAAAAATGACTTAGCTTTCTTTTGCTTTTCCTTAGGAATGTTTGTTTCTTAATCTCAGATCTCTTAACCTCACCCAGACTCCTCCCTCATGAGGAAATAAAATGTTACAATGTGTGGCCGGGCGCGGTGGCTCACTCCTGTAATCCTAGCACTTTGGGAGGCCGAGATGGGCGGATCACGAGGTCAGGAGATCAGGACCATCCTGGCTAACACGGTGAAACCCCATTTCCACTAAAAATACAAAAAATTAGCTGGGTGTGGTGGCAGGCACCTGTAGTCCCAGCCACTTGGGAGGCTGAGGCAAGAGAATGGTGTGAATCCCGGAGGCAGAGCTTGCAGTGAGCCGAGATTGTGCCACTGCACTCCAGCCTGGGCAACAGGGCGAGACTCCGTCTCAAAAAAAAAAAAAAGTTACAATGTGATCCTCTTCCTATCTGACTCACCTCCCTCTGCAGGTGATACCCTTGGCTGTGGCACCTCTACTGACAGAGACTCCATCCTCTAGGAGAGGCTCTGCCCTCCCATAACATCTGTATGGGTGCTCTCATACAGATGGGGGAAAACCATGATTAGATTCTGGGTCATCATTCCCCCTCTACAATGGAAGATTCAGCACCTGATCACTCTACTTCCACCGCTCATTTCATTTTCTTCTTTTTATTATTTATTTATTTATTTTTGAGATGGAGTTTTGCTCTTCTCGCCCAGGCTGGAGTGCAGTGGCGCAATCTCGTCTCACTGCAACCTCCGCCTCCTGAGTTCAATAGATTCTCCTGCCTCAGCCTTAGTAGGTGTGATTACAGGCATCTGCCACCACGCCCAGCTAATTTTTGTATTTTTACTAGAGACAGGGTTTCACCATGTTGGCCAGGCTGGTCTTGAACTCCTGATCTTAGGTTATCTGCCTACCTCGGCCTCCCAAAGTGCTGGGATTACACACGTGAGCCACCGAGCCCAGCCTCTTTTTCTTTTTTCTTTTTTTTCTGAGGCAGGGTCTCGCTCTGTCACCCAGGCTGGAGTGCAGCAGCAGGATCATAGCTCACTGAGCTTCGATCTCCCGGTCTCAAGTGATCCTCCCAGCTAATTTTTTTTATTTTTATTTTATTTTTTTTTTTTGAGATGGAGTCTGGCTCTGTCGCCCAGACTGGAGTGCAGTGGCACAATCTCAGCTCACTGCAACCTTGCCTCCTGGATTCAAGCAATTCTCTGCCTCAGCCTCTGAGTAGCTAGGATTACAGGCGCCTGCCACCACGCCCGGATAAATTTTGGGTTTTTTTTTTTTTTTTTTTTGAGACAGAGTCTCACCCTGTCGCCTAGCCTGGAGTGCAGTGGTGCGATCTCGGCTCACTGCAAGCTCTGCCTCCCGGGTTCATGCCATTCTCCCGCCTCCCACCTCAGCCTCCCAAGTAGCTGGGACTACAGGCACCTGCCACCATGCCCAGTTAATTTTGTTTTTGTATTTTTAGTAGAGACGGGGTTTCACCGTGTTAGCCAGGATGGTCTCAATCTCCTGACCTGGTGATCCGCCCTCCTCACCCTCCCAAAGTGCTAGGATTACAGGCTTGAGGCACCGCCCCTGGCCTGTTTTTTTGTTCGTTTGTTTTTGTTTTTTTTGGACGGAATTTTGCTCTTGTTGCCCAAGCTGGAGTGCAATGGTGCCATCTCAGCTCACTGCAACCTCTGCCTCCCAGGTTCAAGCGATTCTCCTGCCTCAGCCTCCTGAGTAGCTCGGATTACCGGCGTGTGCCACCATGCCCGGCTAATTTTTTGTATTTTTAGTAGAAATGGGGTTTCACCATATTGGTCAGGCTGGTCTCAAACTCTTGACCTCGTGATCCACCCGCCTCGGCCTTCCAAAGTGCTGGGATTACAGGCATAAACCACTGCGCCTGGCCTCTGGCCTTTGATATTTAATAGAGATGAGGTCACACTGTGTTGCCCAGGACAGTCTCGAACTCCTGAATTCACACAATCTGCCTGCCTCAGCCTCCCAAAGTGCCGGGATTATAGGCATGAGCTACAGTGCCTGGCCCCGTTTTATTATTTTTGTTTTCAATGTTCATGCAGATTCTCTAGCACCCTGCCCTTCTCTTGCAGTGATTTATTTCTCCCTGCTTCCCTCTCGCCCTATGTCATACCTTCAACTTGGTTGCCACCAATACCTACTGCCCTTCTAAAATCTCATCCTCAGTCTTTTCATGTTGCTCCCCAGTACCCCTATCCCAAAAATTCTTCAACCCCATCTGGGCCTCCCATCCACTAACTTACTTTTCATTGTTTGATCTCAATTCTTCACTTTCCTCATTACCCAGTTTAGATTCCAAGGTTCAACATGGTAATCGCCTCTCAGCCCTCACCCTGTACTCCTGGCCCCCCTTCCTCTGGCACATTTTATCCCTGGTCAAATCCCACTCTGCCTGCTCCACACCTGCATTCAACAGCTGGGGAGAAACACACAGTCATACTGACTGGTCTTGCTTCCTGCGGGCCCTCAGTGTGGCATGCCAGCTCGCCTTTCCCTACTCAGTTCACATTCCCCAAATCTGAGACCACAACTTCACAAGATGATGACTTTTCTTCCTATTTCAGTGAGAAAACAGAAACTTTCAGAAGGGAACTTCCTCATGTTCCCACCCCAAATTCACCAGTCTACCTGCAACTCTACCGCAGAGAAGCTGACATGCACCCACCTGCCACCTCATCTGTACCCCGGGATCCTGTTCCCTCTCACCTGCTCAGAGATGTTATTCCTGAAATTATCCCCTATCTCTCTCTCTCTCACTTAATCAGTTTACCCCTCTGTACTGCAACACTCCCATCATTATGCAAACATGCTATAAAATTATACTTCATCTCTGAAAAGAAAGAAAAAAACTGTTTCGCTACTCACCTAGGTAGTAAAAGCACAACATTCAGAGAATGGTGCTTACCCTTTGGCAGAAAAGCAATCTGGAAAGGGAAATTCAGGGAGCCTTAACTATACTGGGGAAGATTTTACCTCTTGTTTTTGCTTTCTTTTTTTTTTTTTTTTTTTTTGAGATGGAGTCTCCCTCTGTCACCCAGGCTGGAGTGCAATGGCACGATCTCAGCTCACTGCAACCTCCGCCTCCCGGGTTCAAGCGATTCTCCTGCCTCAGCCTCCCAAGTAGCTGGGATTATAGGCACGCACCACCACACCTGGCTAATGTTTTAGTAGAGACAGGATTTCACCATGTTAGCCAGGCTGGTCTCCAACTCCTGACCTCAGGTGATCCGCCCACCTCAGCCTCCCAAAGTGCTGGGATTACAGGTGTGAGCCACCTTGCCCTGATGGGAAGATTTTACTTCATAAGCTGCCTGATGTTCACAAAATTATTCTTTGTAATACATATATATTTATGCATATAAATTATAATTTTATATGTATAAAATAATGCATTTATTTTTAAATTTAAAAACTCTTCCCTGACCCAGCTCACTCCCTCAGTGTTCCACTTCTCTCTCCACTTAACAAAACTTCTCACTGCCTCTACTTTCTCACCTCTCATTCACTCTTGAATTTCTCTCAATCAGGCTCTCATCCCCACCACTTTACTTAAACCACATGTCAGAGTCACAAATGACCTCCAAGTTTCTAAACCCAATGGTCAAGGGTCAGTTTGTGGCAGGCCAATTCTCCCTGACAGTCACACAGACAGGCCTGCATAGCACCCCAGTTACACAGACAGATTTCCACAGCATTGCCTTAACATTGAGCAAATAGTTAAACCTAGGGGAATTGGTGTACAGACATCAAAGCTAGAAATGAAACACATGGTGAGTAAGAGCCTTGCATGGGCTTCTCCCTTGCTGGAGCAAGTCAAAATAACAGAGACAGCCTTACATTCCTAGTGCCAGGACTCGTCTCGGGTCGACGATATCTGAGACAAGTCAAGGTAACAGAGGCAGCTGTTTGAATAGATTCATTGGAGAATCTAAGGCAGCTCTCCGCACCAAGCTGTAAAGGAGATAAGATAGAAATAATCACTCTGGTACCACAGTAAACAGGCCTTGAAGGTACTGGGGCCCTCACAGCTTAATCAGACTTAGCAAGAATTTTTTTGCCTCTGACCCTCTAGTTGAAACAAAATTAGTTACTGATAGACTTTGGTGAATGCCATACTGCATGTAGGCATATAACCTAAACCTGTATAAACACTAAGAAAATAGTAACACTGGCCGGGTGTGGTGGCTCACACCTGTAATTCTAGCACTTTGGGAGGCCGAGGTGGGTGGATCACAAGGTCAAGAGATCGAGACCATCCTGGCCAACATGGTGAAACCCTGTCTCTACTAAAAATACAAAAATTAGCTGGGCGTGGTGGCACGCGTCTGTAGTCCCAGCTACTCGGGAGCCTGAGGCAGGAGAATCATTTAAACCCAGGAGTCGGAGGTTGTGGTGAGCCAAGATCGCACCACTACACTCTAGCCTGGCGACAGAGCGAGACTCCGTCTCAAAAAAAAGAAAAAAAGAAAATTGTAACACTTTGAGTTGGTCTGGTGGAATTATCTCCGACCCTTTCCCTGTATCCGGTGACAGCAACAAATTCCCTTCTTTCCTAGTTTGTCTGCTTCTCGTTATTGGGCCACGAGAAAACACAGCCAAACCTGGCTTAGTTCCAGGAATAAGTTCTCAACTAGAGTCTAAACTAGGGTTTCTCAGTTTCAGGGATTATTGACATTTTGGGTCAGATAGTTCTTTGTCATGGGGGTCTGACCTGTGCATTGTCTTGCCAAGTATCTCCTGTGGGACATCTTGACCAGTGGTTTTCAAGAGTGGGTGATCCTCCCATCCCACCCCCAGGAACATTTGGCAATGTCTAGAGTTGTTTCAGTTATCACAACTGAGGAGGTGCTCCTAGCGTCTAGTGAGCAGCGGCCAGGCATGCTGTTAAACTCCTTGCAACTGGAGGACACAATAAATAATTATTTCACAGCCATAGTAAAGAATGAAATTGGCCGGTCGCGGTGGCTCACGCCTGTTATCCCACCACTTTGGGAGGCCGAGGTGGGCAGATCACCTGAGGTCAGGAGTTTGAGACCAGCCTGGCCAATGTGGTGAAACCCCGTCTCTACTAAAAATATCAAAATTAGCCAGGCATGGTAGCACGTGCCTGTAATCCCAGCTACTCAGGAGGCTGAGGCAGGAGAATCGCTTGAACCTGGGAGGCGGAGGTTGCAGTGAGCCAAGATCATGCCATTGCATTCCAGCCTGAGCGACAAGAGAAAAACTCCATCTCAAAAAAAAAAAAAAAAAAAAAATGAAATCATGTCCTTTGCAACAACGTGGATGAAGCTGGAGGCCATTATCCTAAGTGAACTAACTCAAACATAGAAAACCAAATATTTGGCTGGGTGTGACGGCTCATGCCTGTAATCCCAGCACTTTGGGAGGCCGAGGCAGGTGGATCACTCGAGCTCAGCAGTTCGAGACAAGCCTAGTCTCTACCAAAAACACAAAAAATTAGCTGGGCATAGTGGTATGTGCCTGTGGTCCCAGCTACTTGGGAATCTGAAGTGGGAGGATCACTTGAACCAGGGAGGCAGAGGTTGCAGTGAGCTGGAGTCACACCACTGCACTCCAGCCTGGGTTACAGAGTGAGACCCCATCACGGGAAAAAAAAAAAAAAAAAAAAAGTCGGGCACAGTGGCTCACGCCTGTAATCCCAGCACTTTGGGAGACAGAGGCGGGCAGATCACCTGAGGTCAGGAGTTCGAGACCAGCCTGGCCAACACGGCAAAACCCCGTCTCTACTAAAAACATGAAAATTAGCCTGACATGGTGGCGTGAGCCTGTAATTGCAGCTACTCAGGAGGCTGAGGCAGGAGAATCACTTGAACCTGGGGCGAGGAGGAGGTTGCAGTGAGCAGAGATAGCGCCACTGCACTCCAGCCTGGGCAACAGAGTGAGGCTCCATCTCAAAAAAAAAAAAAAATTTACCTATTGGGTACAATGTTCACTATTTGGGTAACAGGTACACCACTAGAAGCCCAATCCCCACCAGGATGCAATGTAATCATGTAACAACCAACCAGGTGTACTGCTTGGGTTTAAAATTGTGGGGGAAAAAAAAGAAAAGAAAGAAGAAAAAAATTATCCTGCCAGGTGCAGTGGTTCATATCTGTAATCCCAGCACTTTGGGAGGCTGAGGCAGATGGATCACTTGAGTTCAGGAGTTTGAGACCAGCCTGGACAACATAAGGAGTCCCCATCTCTACAAAAAATTAAAAAATTATCTGGGCATAATGGCACACACCTGTGGTCCCAGCTATTTGGGAGGATGAGGTAGGAGGATCACTTGAACCTGGGAAGTCGAGGATGCAGTGAGCCATGGTAACCCCACTGCACTCCAGCCTAGGCAACAGGCTGTCTCAAAAACAAAAAAGAAAGAAAGCATTCCCTAGTTCCTTATTTACTGCTCCTTCTCAGTCTTCACTGACAGCTCCTATTCCTTTTCCAGACCTTTAAATATTAGAGAGCCTCTGGACTCTATTCTTGGCCCTCTCCTCTACCCTAATCCAAGCTCCCATGATTCCATTGTCCCTTCCTTTGTCCCTTAATTGGATTTTCTGCTTCTATTTTTTACTGATGTGGCCTACCCTCTATGAAGAAACCAGAGTGATCTTTAAAATTACCAGATGATATCATTTACCTGCTCAAAACCCTCTGATGCCTCCTGATCACATGTGGGACAAAATAAAAAGTCCTTCCCATGGCCTATGAAGCCTACCTGGCCTTGTTTCTCCCCACCTCTCTGTCTTCATCCCTTACCACTCTTTCCCTTGCTCACTCTGCTCCACTCACTCTGACCTCCTTTCTGAATTTAACATAAAAATCCAATTCCTTTCTACCTCAGGGCCTTTGCACTCTCTTTTTCTTTTCCTGGACACTCTCCCTCCAGATACTTGCATGACTGCTCCTTTATGTCATTTATATCTGCACAAACATCACCTCCACAAGGAGGCTTTCCCTCATCACTTGATTAAATATAGTACCATGGCCAGGCACAGTGGCTCTTGCTTATAATCTCAGCACTTTGGGAGGCAGAGGCAGGAGGATTGCTTGAGGCCTGGAGATTGAGACCAGCCCAGGCAACATAGTGAAACCTCGTCTCTAAAAAAAAAAAAAAAAATTAGCCAGACATGGTGGCATGAACCTGCAGTCCCAGCTACTCATGAGGCTGCGGTGGGAGGATCACTTAAGCCCAGGAGGTCAAGGCTGCGGTGAGCCATGACCACACTACTGCACTCCAGCTTGGGCAACAGAGCAAGACTCTATAAATAATAATAATAATCATCATCAATAAATATAGCACCATGCATACCTGGGAGCACTTTCTATCCCATTCCCTTACCCCTCACCCTGCTTCATGGTGTTCATAGCACTTGTTAGTGCCTGACATTGTATTAAATTTTATTGATTTTTTTATCGTCTGTCATCTTCAATTCAATGTAAGTTACCAGAGATCCAAGGCTTTTTCCACTGCCTTATTCCCAGCATGTAGCACAGTGCTTGGTACAAAGGAGGCCCTCAGTAAAGATTTCTTGGCTGGGCGCAGTGGCTCACGCCTGTAATCCCAGCACTTTGGGAGGCTGAGGTGGGCGGATCGTGAGGTCACAAATCCGAGACCAGCCTGACCAACATGGTGAAACCCTGTCCCTACTAAAAAAAATACAAAAGTTAGCCGGGCGTGGGGGTGCACACCTGTAGTCCCAGCTACTCAGGAGGCTGAGGCAGGAGAATCACTTGAACCCAGGAGGCGTAGGTTGCAGTGAGCCGAGATCACGCTACTGCACTCCAGCCTGGGTGACAGAGCGAGACGTCATCTCAAAACAGCAACAAGAACAAAAACCAACCAACCAAACAAACAAAATTCTTTGAATCACTGAATGAATAAGTAGTTCATAGAGTTGTGTGAGAGAAAAATAGCTAATATATACAAGACATTTAGAACAATGCTGAGTATTACGGTCATAATGCATGGCCAGCGTTTAGTAAGGTGAAGCTGTTATCATTAAACACTTCACTGCCAAAAAGGCTGCCTCCCTCCTGCTTGAAAACCCTGACTATAAGGGAAGCACAGCAAAATGCTTTGGGACCAAAAAGGAGGGAGGAACTATTTTGACACAAATCCCAGCAAAACTAAAAGCCACAGAAACCACCAAAGCTAAACAGAAGGGGAAATTTATTTAGCTTTTGGAAAGCTAGAATTTTTGTCTCTCATGCAGATAATAAATGGAAGAGAATAAGTGCAGCATATGGTTCCATGTGGTGAGTATAGAACGCAGGGGAATGTGAGAGTGTAAAAACTTCCAACCAGCTCAATGCCTGGTGACAGGGCAGCACAAAGGAGTATTGGAATAGCCTGGGAAAACTGAGACTCACAGACTGGAGAGGAATAATCCTGGGTGTTAAGTGGCTTTCCTTACTTCTCCTACCTTGTGCTGCTTCTTCCACCTGCAATAAATCTCTTCCATTTCTTTTTCTTTTTCTTTTTTTCTGTTTTGTTTTGTTTTGTTTTGTTTTTTGAGATGGAGTCTTGCGCTGGCGTCATGCTGGAGTGTAGTGGCGCCATCTTGGCTCACTGCAACCTCCGCCCCCTGGGTTCAAGCGATTCTCCTGCCTCAACCTCCCAAGTAGCTGGGACTACAGGCACATGCGACCACGCCCAGATAATTTTTGTATTTTTAGTAGAGACGGGGTTTCACCATGTTAGCCAGGATAGTCTCGATCTCTTGACCTTGTGATCCACCCGCCTCAGCCTCCCAAAGTGCTGGGATTACAGGCATGAGCCACCGTGCCCGGCAGTCTCTTCCATTTCTGCATATCAAATTTGCGGCCCTCTTTCAAGTCTCAACTCTCTGAAGCCATCCATGAGGTATTTTCAGATCAACCCCAGTTGAAAATAACTCCCCTGCCACTTATCACTTTTTCCTTTGCATCTGGAGCATTGGCTAATCTGACTTTTCACTCTCATTAGATTACTGGTGGGGATTCTCCGTATTTGTCTCCATATTTCACTGGCAAATTCTGGGTATTCAATAAGGGCTACTGAATGAATAAGAAAAAAATTCTACTTCATCCATTTAGAGGGCAAGCATCATATGCTCTGTGTGCAGGAACAAGATGAAACAACCACTAGCTGGCAAACTACCTCAAGCCAGCTCCTGAACCTCTCCTTGGGTTCTGCCTCAGGTTAACTCTTTTTTTTTTTTTTTTTTTTTTTTTTAAAAGACAGGGTCTCACTCTGTTGCCCAGGCTGGGGTACAGTGGTGTGATCCTAGCTCACTGCAGTCTCAACTCCTGGGCTCAAGTAATCCTTCCGCCTTAGCCTCCTGAATAGCTAGGACTACAGGTGCACCACCCTGCCTAGCTAATTTTTATTTTGTAGAGGCAGGGTCTCTATGTTGCCCAGGCTTCAGGTTAGGTCTTGAATGAAGGCAAACAATGCCCTTCTGGGATAGAACAAGGAGAATAACAGAGTATGGCCAGTTTCTCTGAGCCATCTTAGAAGGGGAGGACCCAGAAAAAAGGAAGGAGGGAAGTGACTCCAGGTAAGATGTAAATATATTTGCAGGTAAATCCCCAGAAACTTGTCAAATATGGTTTCCCTCAGTCCAATTTTCTTCACTTAAAGGAGTGGAGAATTGTTCCAAAATGGAGTTAACATTCTGCAATCATAGAGAGCAGAATTATTGCCCTCCTCCCAAGTTCTTGCATTCTCCTAGATGTCTCTTTGACCTTTTTTTTTTTTTTTGAGACGGAGTTTCACACTATTGCCCAGGTTGGAGTGCAATGGTGTGATCCTGGCTCACTGCAACCTCTGCCTCCCAGGTTCAAGCGATTCTCCTGCCTCAGCCTCCCAAGTAGCTGGGATTACAGGCGCCCGCTACCACACCTGGCTAATTTTTATATTTTATTAGTAGAGATGGGGTTTTACAATGTTGACCAGGCTGGTCTCGAACTCCTGACCTCATGTGATCTGCCCGCCTTGGCCTCCCAAAGTGCTGGGATTACAGGCGTGAGCCACTGCACCTGGCCCTCTTTGACCTTCTTAACCCAGAGTCTCACTTTTCGAGAGGTTTCTGTGTAGCAAGACGGGGTAAGTATGTCCCATTTGCATTCACACGATTTCTGGAGGTATTGGTGATGTTGGTCCCTGCAACACCAAAGGAAGAGAGGGAGCAGAGGACAATTTGTAGTGACAAGAAGAGACTGGATCCAGTCCCTTGGGGAAGAAGATTCCTTTTCATCTCTTCCTCTCATGCCTGCTCATCTTCCATTTCATTCTCAAATCTTTAGGGGAAAGGGAGAGGAGAGAGACATTGCTGTTTCCCCACTTTCCAGTCCAAGCATCTATCCCAACAGATAAGCAAATTTCACTTGTCATCCTCTTTATGTATCTTTCTCAAATGTCTTGTTCTCTAGCCAGGCTTAAGGATATAATCTTCCTGGTTTGTGGCTCTCTTTCGTCTTGATTCCTTGATGACTGCCTCCAAAGAGCTGAGCTCTGGCACAATTAGACTTGAGGAAGATAGTGTGAGTCAGTCAACAAGCATGTAGTATCTACACTTTGGGGGAGAGCCTATACTCTTTCTTATTTCTTTTTTTACAAATTATTATTTTGAGACAGAATTTCTCAAATTCCTTTCTACCTCAGGAAAGGAAAGGAAATTGGATAAGGCGACTTTGTCGCCAGGCTGAAGTGCAGTGGTGTGATCTCGGCTCACTGCAACCTCTGCCTCCCGGGTTCAAGCGATTCTCCTGCCTCAGCCTCCTAAGTAGCTGAGACTACAGGCACACACCTCCACACCAGCCTAATTTTTGTATTTTTAGTAAAGACGGGGTTTCACCATGTTGGCCCGACTGGTCTCAAACTCCTGACCTCGAGTGATCCACCCACCTTGGCCTCCCAAAGTGCTGGGATGACAGGCATGAGCCACTGCGCCTGGCCACTCTTTCCTATTTCTGAATCTTCACAGGTTGTTGGTCCCTTCCTAGTCCTGTGTTTCTCAAGTTAAGACTAGGGGGAATCTACAGGTCCATGGCTATCTTCTCTGGGGAACTCTTCTAAAACTTTAAGTTTGTGCTTACCTCTTGATGGGCCATATTTTTAAAAAGAGAAATATTTTCATACATGATGATTTGGATTAGGTTTTTTTTAGGGGTTTCAATGCCTATATTTGTATTTGTGTTTATTTATTTATTTATTTTTTGAGACAGTCTTGCTGTGTCGCCCAGGCTGGAGTGCAATGGTGTGATCTTGGCTCACTGCAACCTCCGCCTCCTGGGTTCAAGCGATTCTTCTGTCTCAGCCTCCCAAGTAGCTGGGACTATAGGCGTGTGCCACCACGCCAGGCTAATTTTTGAATTTTTAATAGAGACGGAGTTTCACCATATTGACCTTGTGATCCGCTCGCCTCGGCCTCCGTGCAGTGGCGCGATCTCAGCTCACTGCAACCTCCGCCTCCCAGGTTCAAGCGATTCTCCTGCCTCAGTCTCCTGAGTAGCTGGGACTACAGGCATGCGCCACACCAGCTAATTTTTGTATTTTTAGTAGAGACGGGGTTTCACCATGTTGGCC